>NC_000002.12:32561629-32714379 GCF_000001405.40 Homo sapiens
ATTATATTCAAGGTTTTTTTTGAACCTAAAGTTTTTTTTAAAGTTTCTGGGATTATCTTTTATGTTTATATGAAGAAATAATGCTTTAATCATGTATATATATATATATATTTATTTATTTATTTCTAGATTTTGCTGGGGGCAGTGCTCACGCCTATAATCCCAGCGCTTTGGGAGGCTGAGGCGGGCGGATCACGAGGTCAGGAGTTCGAGACCAGCCTGGCCAACATGGTGAAACCCCGTCTTTACTAAAAATACAAAAACTAGCCAGGCGTGGTGGTGGGCCCCTGTAATCGCAGCTACTCGGGAGGCTGAGGCAGGAGAATTGGTTGAACCCGGGAGGTGAAGGTTGCAGTGAGCCGAGATCATGCCATTGCACTCCAGCCTGAGTGACAGAGTGAGACTCCAACTTAAAAAAAAATAAAATTATTATTATTTCTAGATTTTAACAATTGGAATTATCAGTTATATTTGTGCTTGCAAATTTGTGGGATCTCTTTTTCCCCTTCTCTTCCTTATTGAACTTTAGCATGCTAGACTGTCTTCATTATTCATGTATGGAGAAGAAGATTCTCATTTTGTGGTTTTGGTTGTTCTTAATACCTTCATAATAATTTAATTTTTAAAACATAAACATATCTTGTATTACTTGTATTCTTTTATAATTTTATCTAAATTGCTGTTGAGTATTTTTAGGTTCACAGAAAATTGAGCAGATAGTACAGAGTTCCCATATATGCAGTTCCTACTCACAGTTTACTTATTCATATTTTGCATTAGTGTAGTACATATAATTGATGAACTAATAGTGGTATGTTATTTTTAACTAAATTTATAGTTGAAATTCGAGTTCGCTCTTTATGTTCTACAGTTGTGTGGGTTTTGACAAATGCGCAATTTTATGTATTCCACCATGACAGGATCACACAGAAGAGTTTACTGCCCTAAGAAATTCTATTAATCCTGCATCCCTTCCTAATCCCCAGACCTCTGGTAACCACTGTTCTTTGTACTGTCTCCATAGTTGTGCCTTTTTCAGAATGTCATATAGTTGTAATCATAAGATCTAGCCTTTTAGATTGGCTTCTTTCATTTAATAATATACATTTAAGTTTTGTCCATGTGTTTTCATGGCTTGGTGGCTGCTTCCTTTTTTATCGCTGAAAAATATTCCATTGTATGAACATGTAAGTGTTTATTCATTCACCTTTTGAAGAACATCTTGATTGCTTCCTTTTTTTGGCATTTATGAATAGATCTGCTATAAACATTCACATACAGATTTTTATTCCCAGTTTTGTTTCACTGATCTATTTGTTTATTCTTTCGTGAGTACCACATTGTCTTAATTGTCGCAGCATTATAGTCAGGTGGTCAAGTCATATAGTGTCAGTCCTCTGACTTTGTTCTTCAATGTTGTGCTGGCTATGCTACGTATTTTGCCTTTCCATAGAAACTTAATCATTTGATTGATAGCCACAAAATAACTTGCTGGGGTTTTGGTTGGAACAATGTGTCCTCTGTTCTGTTTCTCTTTGTATGTTACATGAAGAGGGTTGAGAACGGTGAAATACTATGTGCACTACTTTGCTAAATGAGTTTATAAAGCAGTGCAAATGGTAATCTTTGGGTACCTGGCTATATTTTTATCAGTATAAATTCTGATTTTTCAAATATTTCGATGTAGACAGGGAAATCATTCAAAACTGTGGATTCCATTCCAGCAGATGTAGCTAAAATGGGGGGGCAGGAGAAAACTGTGGAATAGGGAAGGTTTTTTCTAAGGCTTCATTATTGTGCCAGTCTCAAGTTGAAAAGAGGCTACATGATTGTACATTCAAGTCTTATGTTTTCCTATATTTGAAAAATAAAAACATTTATAAAATATATGCAATGTTTACTGGGTGCTTTTCCTCGTATTAGTGTTTTAAAGCAATTGAAGAAAATAAATATTTCAGTATAAAAAGGAGCAAATGTATATGAATAAGTACTTAAGAGAAAAAAATTTTAGTGACAGCTTTAATGGTTGATAATTCGGTACCCTTCAGTTCACCCATTTAAAGTATACAATTCATTGATTTTTATTATAGTCACAAATGTGTACAACTGTTACCAAAGTGAATTTGATAATTTTTTTTTTTCACCTCATAAAGAACCCTGTACCCTTGGCCAGGCACATTTGCTCATGCCTGTAATCCCAGCACTTTGGGAGGCCCAGGTGGGCGGATCACTTGAGGTCAGGAGTTCGAGACCAGCCTGGCCAACATGGTGAACCTTGTCTCTACTAAAAATAAAAAAATGAGCCGAGTGTGGTGGTGGGCGCCTGTAATCCCAGCTACTTGGGAGGCTAAGACAGGAGAATCGCTTGAACCCGGGAGGCGGAGGTTGCAGTGAGCTGAGACTGTGCCATTGCACTCCAGCCTGGGCAACAAGAGTGAAACTCTGTCTCAAAAAACAAAAAACAAACAAACCCTGTACCCTTTAGTTATCATCTTCCATCCCCTCATCTTCTCTAGCACTAAGCGGCTGATAATCTACTTTCTATCCTTATATAGAGTTGCCTTTTCTGAATATTTTATGTAAATTGGATCATATAATATGTGGTCTTTTTAAATTGGCTTTTTCCATGCAGCAAAATGTTTTCAGGGTTTATTGATGTTGAATGTATCAGTAGTTGATAACTTCTTCGGGCTGAACAACATTCCATTTTATGGCTGTGTACTACATTTTGCTTTTCCATCAGTTGATGTCTATTTGTTTTTGCATTTTGGCAGTTGCAAAAATGTTGCAGTGAGCATTAGCATACAAATATCTATTGGTGTTTCTGCTTTGAATTCCTTTGGTAATATACCTAGGATGGAATTGTTGAGTTACATGGATTACCTGACTTTTAAAATTACAATAATCTTACTGGGTGTGAGATGGTATCTCATTGTGGTTTTAATTTGCATTTCTTTGATGACTAAGTATGTTAAGCATATTTTCATGTGTTCATTGACTATTCACCTATCCTTTCCAGAGAAATATCTTTTCAAATTCTCTGCCCCATGAGTGGGGGCTGGCTAGAAGAGGGGATTGAATGTCAACTTCTTAGCCATGTGTACCTTCTAACTTAGCAGCAGGAGGTTGCTGTGGTAGGATGGGAAATGCTGACATCCTGCCCCTCACCCCGCTAGGAAGGCAGGCTTTCAGCTCTGTACTAAGGCATAGCTTTCCAACTTGGACCTCTGGGAGAGGGAGGCCTGTGTTCTTGGCTGTAGCCAGCTAGAGTGGTTTTTCTTTCTCATTGAGCTGAGGGTGGGGAAGAAAGGAGCAGCATCTTGATTCACATACCACAGACTCTTGCTTTTCTTACTGAGTTTTAGTACATTTTCTTGAATAAACGTTTCTTCATTTGCTGCATACTGTTAGGACCACTTCCAGAGATTTTAGATAGTTGTGTTCTTTTAAAGAGTATGTACCAGTTTCACTGGGGATCTGATCTGCAGGGATCTTCCCTCTCATGCTAGCAAGAAAAATTGAGTTCTCATAAACCAAGTAAAATATTCAAGCTTTCCTACTAATTAAATGTTTTAGAACCTTACAGTGGAATATTTTGTATCCATCAAGTTCTTGAAAGTAGAAACCATCTATCTTGATATTGGGTAGAAAGAGGAAGTTAGACACTATGGAGTATCTAGTTTTTATAAAATTCAACACATACCTAAATATACAATATCATGTACTTCTCCCCTATAAGACATATTTTATTAATTAAATTACATCAGGTTTTTCTTAAGTATTCTGTTCTCCACATTTTAAAATTCAAAAGCTTTAAGGTGGTATCTAATAAATAGCTGTTTTCCTGCCTCTGTCCTACCAATAACAGCTCATTAGGGATAAACTATAGTTATCCCTATAGTACTAATCTAACTAATAGTACTAATAGTTACAGATAGTACTAACCAGTGCTACTAATTTCTTATATTTCTTTATAGGAAATCTATGTATAACAAGTAAATATAAATACATATTAGTTCATTGTCACACTGCTATAAAGAACTGCCTGAGACTGGGTGAATTATAAAGGAAAGAGGTTTAATTGACTTATAGTTCTGCAGGGCTGGGGAGGCCTCAGGAGACTTACAATCATGGCAGAAGGGGAAGCAAACATGTCCTTCTTCACATGGCAGCAGCAAGGAAAAGTGCAGAGCAACGCAGTGAGAGCCCCTTATAAAACCATCATATCTCGTGAGAACTCACTATTATGAGGACAGCATGGAGGTAACCACCCCCATGATTCAGTTACCTCCCACTGGGTTCCTCCCATGACACATGGGGGTTATGAGAACTACAATGCATGATGAGTTTTGGGTGGAGACACAGCCAAACCATATCACATAGTCTCCCTCTTTTTATGTTTTTGTTATTTGTGTTTTGTTTTATGTTTACCCAAATAATCATTTATTTTTTATTAACATTTATGGGTTATGTTTACCATATAACCCATTTTTATACCTTACTGTCCTATCCCCACCCCAAAATGACATTATAGTACTTGCGAATTTGCTCCAGTACAGCATAAAGCATATTCTAATTTTTTATGGCTACATAATGGGCATTTAGTAATTAAAACAGTTGCATATTAATAAACATAAATAGGTTCTTTTTTGAGATAAGGTCTCACTCTATGTCCCAGGCTAGAGTGCAGTGGTGTAATCATGACTAACTGCAGCTTCCCATGCCCGGCTAATTTTTTAAATTTTATACAGACAGGATCTTGCCCAGGCTTGGAGTACAGTGGTGTGATTATGGCTCACTGCAGCCTCGACCTCCTGGACTCAAGTGATCCTGCCACTTCAGCCTCATGAGTAGCTGAGACTACTGGCGGGCACTACCACACCTGGCTAATTTTTAAAATTTTGTGTAGAGATTGGGTCTTTCTGTATTGCCTAGGCTGGTCTTGAGCTCCTGGGCTCTAGCGATGCTTCTGCCCCAGCCTTCCAAATCCTGGGATTATAGGCATGAGCCACTGCATCCAGCTCACATATTTTTTTAATTGACATTTTTATTCTGTTGTATATGCCCATTGTAAATATGATATACCTGTTTATTGAGACTATCATCTCTGTCCTGCAGCATAGATATTTTCATCATAAGTTTTTTTGTGTATTTTTGTTGTATTTCCTATTGTGCAGTTTCTCTATTTTACAGTTGATTGTTATATAAAATTAACAGTATTCATTTATGTGAATTTTGCATCCACATACTTTAGTATTCTAATAGTATTTCTGTGGATTTACCGTATTTTCCAAATAGAGAATCAGTTTTCTGAGAATGAAGACATTACTCTTTTCCCACTTCTTTTTTTGTTTGTTTGTTTTGAAACAGAGTCTCTGTTACCCAGGCTAGAGTACAGTGGCATGATCTTGGCTCACTGCAACCTCTGCCTCCAGGGTTCAAGCGATTCACCTGCCTCAGCCTCCCGATTAGCTGGGATTACAGGCGCACACCACCACACCTGGCTGTTTTTGTATTTTTAGTAGAGACTGGGTTTTGCCATGTTGGCTAGGCTGGTCTTGAACTCCTGATCTCAGGTGATCCACCTGCCTCGGCCTCCCACACTGCTGGGATTACAGGCGTGAGCCACCACACCTGGTCTACCCACTTCTTATGCTTTTTTAAAAAAATGTTTTTCTTTTGGGGAATCCCCATATCCACATACCTTTCCTGGCTTGTATTTATAAAACAGAATGTCAGGAATTTGTCTCTTGAAGATGCTACTTTCCAAAAGAATTTTTTGTTGTGATGAAAACACTCTGTATCTGTGCCATTCATTAAGGACTTGTGTGGCTATGGGACACTTGAAATGTGGTTAGTGCAACTGAAGAACTGAATTCTTAGTTTTCTTACATTTTAGTTAAAATTTAGATAGCGTGTGGCCAGTAGCTGCCATACTGGACAGTTCAGGAAGTATCATGGGATAATGGGAAAAGCACTAAAGCTAAATGTACCAAGTTTTCACTGTTGGTCTTCTTACTTCCTATTTAGCTGCTTGTGCAACTTAGTAAATATTAGTTTCTCATACACACAGTGGGGATGATAATACCTAATCCACATAATAGTACACACAGAGAAACATCATCATATAGAAAATGGATTAGATGGATGTATACCAAAATGATGTACCAGGTAAAAGAGTGGGGAAGGAGGCCGGGTGTGGTGGCTCACGCCTGTAATCCCAACACTTTGGGAGGTTGAGGTGGGTGGATCACGAGGTCAGGAAATCGAGACCATCCTGGCTAACACAGTGAAAACCCTTCTCTACTAAAAATAAAAATAATAATTAAAAAATTAGCCAGGCATGGTGGCGGGCACCTGTACTCCCAGCTACTTGGGAGGCTGAGGCAGGAGAATGGCATGAACCTGGGAGGTGGAGCTTGCAGTGAGTCAAGATTGTGCCACTGCACTCCAGACTGGGCAACAGAGCGAGACTCCGTCTCAAAAAACAAACAAACAAGAATGGAGAAGGAGAGAAATAGTCAAAAGAAACTATAGCCTTAAAAGGTAAGTTTTATCTTTTTTTTTTTTTTTCAGGATAATCTATTTGAAATATTAATCACTGTAATCGTAACACGTTAGGAGGCCAAGGCAGGTAGATTGCCTGAGCTTAGGAGTTCGAGACCAGCCTGGGCAACATGGTGAAACCCCAACTCTACGAAAAAATAGAAAAAATTAACTGGACATGGTGGCATGTGCCTGTAATCCCAGCTGCTCTGGAATGTGAGGCAGGAGGATCCTTGAGCCCAGGAGGCCAAGGCTACAAAGTGCAATGGTTACACCATTGCACTCCAGCCTGGGCAACAGAGTGAGACCTTGGCGCAAAAAAAAAAAAAAAAAGGAAAATAATATAAATATTAATGTAAAGTTATTTTTTAGAAGTTCACCTTTTTTGGCTGGGCGCAGTGGCTCACGCCTGTAATTTCAGCACTTCGAGAGTTCGAGGCGGGCAGTCACTTGAGATCTGTAGTTCGAGACCAGCCAAGCCAACATGGTGAAACACCATCTTGACCAAAAATACAAAAATTAGTCCGGCATGGTGGCATGCACCTGTAATCCCAGCCACTTGGGAGGCTGAAGCAGGAGAATTGCTTGAACCCTGGAGACAGAGGTTGCAGTGAGCCGAGATTATGTCATAGCACTCCAGTCTGGGCAACAGGAGCGAAACTCAGTCTCAAAAAAAAAAAAAGCACACATTTCTTGCACATAGTGTGAAGTCTGGGGTTTTAGTGTACCCATCACTGGAAGAGTAAACATTGTACCCAGTAGATATTTTTCAAACCCCACTTTTTGGAGGAGTCTCCCATGTCTCTCTCTTTTTTTTTTTTTTTTTGAGATGGAGTCTCCCTCCGTTGCTCAGGCTGGAGTGCAAGTGCAGTGGTGCGATCTGGGCTCACTGCAACCTCTGCCTCCCAGGTTCAAGTGATTCTTGTGTCTCAGCCTCCCGAGTAGCTGGGTTTACAGACACCCACAACGAGGCCCAGGTAATTTTTGTATTTTAGTAGAGATGGGGTTTCGCCGTGTTGACCAGACTGGCCTTGAACTTCTGGCCCCTAGTGATCTCCCCACCTCAGCCTCCCAAAGTGCCGAGATTATAGGCGTGAGCCACCGCACTTGGCCTGTAGTTATTCTTATAGAGACCTTTTACTTCCTTGGTTAAATATATTCCTAGGTATTTTGTTTTAGATTTTATTATTTTATCTTATTTTTAATTTTATTTGACAGGGTCTTGCTCCGTCGCCCAGGCTAGAGTACAGTAGTGCTATCAGAGCTCACTGTAGCCTCGACCTGGTAGGCTCAAGTGATTCTCCTGCCTCAGCTTCCCAAGTAGCTGGGACTACAGGAATGAACCACCACACCTGACTAATTTCCTTTTTGGTTTTTGTAGAGATAAGGTCTTACTATGTTGTTCAGGCTGGTCTTAAGCCCTTGGACCCGAGCTGTCTTCCAGCCTGGACCTCCCAAAGTGCTGTGATTTCAGGCATGAGCCACCACACTTGTTCATTTTTTTTTTTTTCTGTAGCTATTGTAAATGAGATTGCTTTCTTGATTTAATCCTTGGCTAGATGATTATTGGTGTATAGAAACATTACTGGTTTTCATATATTAATCTTATATCCTGAATCTTTATTGAATTCATGTATCAAATCCAAGAGTTTCTCATGGAGTCTTTAGGGTTTTCTAGATCATATCCTCAGCAAACAGGGAAAATGTTGACTTCCTGCTTTTTGAGTTTGAATGCCTTTTTTTTTTCCCTTGCCTGATTACTCTGGCAAGATGTCCAGTACGATGTTGAATAAGAGTGGTGAAAATGAGAACTCTTGACTTGTTCCAGTTCTTAGAGGGAATGCTTTCAGCTTTTTCCCATTAAGTATAGTGTTAGCTGTGGGTTTTTCATATATGGCCTTTATTATGCTGTGTGTTCCTTCTATGCCCAGTTTATTGGGGATTTATATCAATTTTATCACATGCTTTTTCAACATTTATTGAAATGACTATAGAGTTTTTGTCCTTTATTATGTTGTTATGATGTGTCACATTTATGGATTTGTGTGTGTTGAACCATCCTTGTATCCCTGGGATAAATCATACTTGATCATGATGTATTATCTTTTTTTTGTTGTTTATTTTTTAAAAGTTATTTATTTATTTATTTTGAGATCAGCTTGTGAGACTGGCTAATTTTTTTATTTTGGGTAGACACAGGGTTTCACCATGTTGGTCAGGCTGGTCTCGAACTCCTTGCCTCAAGCAATTCACTCACCTTGGCCTCCCAAAGTGCTGGGATTACGGGTGTGAGCTACAGTGCGTGGCCATTTATTTGTTTGTTTGTTTGTTTGTTTGTTTTGAGATGGAGTCTCGCTCTGTCACCCAGGCTGGAGTGCAATGGTATTATCCTGGCTCACTGCAACCTCCACTTTCTGGGTTCAAGCGATTCTCCTGCCTCAGCACCCCCAAGTAGGTGGGACCACAGACTTGCACCACAACACCCGGCTAATTTTTGTATTTTTAGTAGAGATGGGTTTCACCATGTTGGCCAGGCTGGTCTCGAACTCCTGACCTCAGGTTTTCCACCCACCTTGGCCTCCCAAAGTGCTGGAGTTACAGGTGTGAGCCATCACGCTCGGCCTATTTGTTTATTTTTAAGGGTTGAGGTCTTGCTCTGTTGCCCAGGCTAGGGTGCAATGGTGTCATCGTAGCCCACTTTAGCCTCAAACTCCTGGTCTCAAGCAGTCCTCCCACCTTAGCCTCCCAAGTAGCTGGGAATACAGGTTTTTGCCATCACATCTGGCTTATTTTATTTTATTTTATTTTATTTTTGTGGAGACAGGTTTTCTTGCTCTTTTGACCTTGCTTGTCTCGATCTCTTGGTCTCAAGTGATCCTCCTGCCTCAGCCTCCCAAAATGTTGGGATTACAGGTGTGAACCACCATGCCATTATTGTATTATCTTTTTGATGTGCTGTTGGATTTGATTTACTTGTTTTTTGTTTTGGATTTTTGTGTCTGACTTTATTAGGGATATTGGTCTTTAGTTTTCTGCTTTTATTATATCTTTGCCTGGTTTTGGTATCAGCATATTACCGGCCTCATAAAATGAGTTAGAGAGAATAAACTCCTCCTTAATTTTTTTAGTTTTGGGAGGACTTGTATCAGTATGTTGTTTTTATATTTGGTAGAATTTGGCTGTGAATTCATGTGGTCCTGGGCTTTTTTTTTTTTTTTTTTTTTTTTGTTGGGAGATGTTTTATTATGATTGAATCTCACTGCTTGTTATTAGTTTGTTTAGAAATTCAGTTTGTTTCTTGTTCAATCTCAGGAGGTTGTATGTTTCCAGGAATTTACTTGTTTCCTCTAGGTTTTCTAGGTTGAGTGTAGAGTTGATCATAATAGTCCCTGATCTTTTGTATTTCTGTAGTATCAGTTGTATTCCTTTTTCATTTCTGATTCTGTTTATTTGGATCTTCTCTCTTCTTGGTTAGTCTAGCTAATAGTTTATCAGTTTTGTTTATCTTTTCGAAAACCAGCTTTTCAGTTTGCTGATGCTTTGTATATTTTTGTTGTGGGGGGCTGTATTTCATTTAGTTCTGTGTTATTCTAACTTTGGGTGTGGATTGTTCTTACTTTTCTAGTTCCTTGAGGTACATGTAAGATTGTTGATTTGTTACCCACTTTCTGATGCAGGCTTTTAAGGCTATACACTTCTCTCTCTTTGCACTGCATTTGCTATATCCCACAGTTTTTCTGATGTTGCGTTTCATTTTCATTCATTTCAAAAAATTTTTAAATTTGCCTTAATTTCTTTGTTGACCCAGTGATCATTCAGTATCATGCTGTTTAATTTCCATGTATTTGTACTGCTTCCAATGTTCCTGTTGGTATTGTTTTCTAGCTTTATTCCACTGTGGTCTTGAGAAGATACTTGATATGATTTCGATTTTCAAAAATTTTGTTAAGACTCCTTTTATGGACTAACGTGGTCTGTCTAGGAGAATGTTTCATGTGTTGGTGAAAGGAATGTATATACTGTCATTGTTGAGTAGACTGTCCTACGTCTGTTAAGTCCATTTAGTCCAAAGTCCAATTTAAGTCCAATGTTTTCTTTGTTAATTTTCTGTCTCAATTATCTTTCTAGTGCTGTGAGTTGGGTGTTGAAGTCTCCCACTATTATTGTATTACTGTGAATGTTATTGTTTGATTATGGTATTACTGGTAGATCATTTCCAGCTTTCCCTATTGAAAACAGTATTGTATTGAACATTTCTTTGTAGGGTAGACAGTAACAAGTGCTATTATTGAGTCATAGAATATAGGCATTTAAAATTTTAATAGATAATGCCAGTTGGCTATACCTGTTTGCGCTTTTACCTATATGTGAGTCTAGCTTTTCCACATCCTCACAAGTACTGACATTGTGTTTTATGCCTATCAGTTAGTAACTTTTGGATATAATTTTGATTTTCCTGAATAACATAGTATCTTATAATACTATAAAATTATAGTAAGTAGGATGTTGTGACATTGTTCATGGGTTGGAAAATGGGCTTTCATACTCAAGTATATGTGGAAACAAGGGGAAACAAGGAAAGAATGGCAGTCATACTACCCTGTCCTCTGCATCATCACTGGAAGGTGTAAAATGACCTTCTCTTCCATCACTTTGAACGTCACTCCAAGTAGCCTCACTGTCATTAAGCTCTGATAGTCTCTATTTTACATCAGTTGTAGAGATCTCTTTCACATCAGTTACCATACAAAGTACAGGATGCTAGGTGATGCCACATCCTGTTACAACTTAATCCCCATATAGCTCTGTGGGCACTGAGGCAATTCCTACCTCTAGTTGGACTCCCACAATTCTCCTCCCCTGCTTTAGTTTTCTATATAGCATTCAGAATACTTACTAGCTTCTGAAAAGAATGTAACTCATGTCCTTCGCCTAGAATGTTAGATACTTGATGGTAGAGATTTTTGTTTGTTTTCTTTACTGCTTATTCCCAGCCTGTCCAGCAACAGGTTTTCAGTAAATGTTTTTTGTTTGTTTGTTTTTGAGACTGTCTTGCTCTGTCACCCAGGCCGGAGTGCAGTATGTGGTCTCAGCTCACTGCAGCCTCCGCCTCTTGAGTTCAAGCGATTCTCCTGCCTCAGTCTCCTGAGTAGCTGGGATTACAGACCTGTGCCGCCATGCCTAGCTAATTTTCGTATTTAGTAGAGACGGGGTTTCACCATGTTGGCCAGGCTGGTCTCGAACTCCTGACCCCCGGTGATCCATCAGCCTCAGCCTCTCAAAGTGGTGAAATTGCAGGTGTGAGTCACCGCGCCCTGCCAGTAAATGTTTATGGAATGGCTGTTCAGTAACTGTCATTGGAAGAGAGATGTTAGATCCTTATCTCACGTTATTCACAAAAGTAAATTCCAGTTGGTATACAACACAAAACCCAACAAAACAACTTATAAAAGCCTTAGAAGCAACGTGTGTTCCTCGAGTAAGGAATTCACTCTTAGATACAAATAATTTTAATACAAAATTCATTTGATTTATAGCTAGTAATTGGAAGTTAACATAGGCAATATTTTCTTTTTTACTAAAAAGAAAGTTGATTTATTGAAATAGACTCTGGATAAATTGCAATTCTGTCATTCGTTTTCACAAAAGATAAAATAACTTCATCATTCAATTTAGTTTAAAAAAGTTTCCACTTCATACTGATAAATATGTTTCCAGCCATAATATATTATCTGGTGTATTTAATCATTTCTATATGTAATATAACTAGATATTTAGTTACATTTCTTGTTCTCCCCTAAACTTGATACTTTACTTTTTTTTGTTTTCCAAAAGTGCCTATTATTATAGTTTGTATATTGGTGCTTCTTAAATATCTGCTGCATTCTTTCATTTAGCAGCTAACCTATTAAGTTGACCCTTGAATAATGCAGGTATTAAGGGTACCAACCCCCACATATTTGAGAATCCAAGTATAACTTTTTCTTTTTTTTTTTTTTTTTTTGAGGCGGGATTTTGCCCTATCACCCAGGCTGGAGTGCAGTGGCATGATCTTGTCCTCCCCAGTTGCAGGGACTACAGGTGTGCGCCACCACGCCCAGCTAATTTTTTGTTATCTTTTTGTAGAGATGGAAGTTTTACCATGTTGCCCAGGCCGGTCTCAAACTCCCAGGCTCAAGTGATCCTCCCACCTTGGCCTCCCAAAGGTCTGGGATTATGGGCGCGAATCACAGTGTCCGGCCCCAAGTATAACTCCTGACTCTTCCAGAACTTAGCTCCTAATAGCCTACTGTTGACTGGAAGCCTTACTGATAATCAATTAACACATTTTGGATGTTGTATGTATTATATACTGTAAGGTAAGGAAAAGAAAATATTAAGAAAAAAATCATAGAAAATATATTTACTGTTCATTAAATGGAAGTGGATCATCATAAAAGTCTTCATACTCAGAGTCTTCATGTTGAGTAGCCTAATGAGGAAGAAGTGATGAGGTTGGTCTTGCTGTCTCAGGCTGGCAGAAAATCTGTATATAAGTGGACTAGTGCAGTTCAAACCTGTGTTGTTCAAGGGTCAGCTGTAATTTTTTTGAGACGGAGTTTCACTCTTGTGGCCCAGGCTGGAGTGCAATGGCATGATCTTGGCTCACTATAGTCTCCGCCTCCCAGGTTCAAACAGTTCTCCTGCCTCAGCCTCCGAGTAGCTGAGATTACAGGCATGCGCCATCCCACCTGGCTAATTTTTGTATTCTTAGTAGAGACAGGGTTTCTACATGTTGGTCAGGCTGGTCTCGAACTCCCGACCTCGGGTGATCTGCCTGCCTCGGCCTCACAAAGTACTGAGATTACAGGCCTGAACCAGCGTGCCCAGCCGGGTCAGCTGTGGACCTTGGTAAGATCCAGGTAAAAGCTACATTCCTGTGGACCTACTTTTATATTGTACATTTGCTCATTTTGTGCTTTTTCTTCTTCTCCTTATAGTTCTGGACATGGCAAGACATGTGCCACTCTATCGGGCACTGCTGGAATTGCTTCGGGCCATTGCTTCTTGTGCTGCCATGGTGCCCCTATTGTTGCCCCTTTCTACAGAGAACGGTGAAGAGGAAGAAGAACAGTCAGAATGTCAAACTTCTGTTGGTACATTGTTAGCCAAAATGAAGACCTGTGTTGATACCTATACCAACCGTTTAAGGTACTATATACAATGTTCATTTCTCTTGAGTTTGCCTCTAACAATGTTTTTAAAATAACTCCATGGGTGTTTTTGTTTTTCAGTGATATGTGCTTTTTAAAAGCATATACACCCTCGGCTGGGTGCGGTGGCTCACACCTGTAATCCCAGCACTGTGGGAGGCCGAGGTGGATGGATCACGAGGTCAGGAGATCAAGACCATCCTGGCTAACATGGTGAAACCCCGTCTCTACTAAAAATACCAAAAAATTAGCCAGGCATGGTGGCGGGCACCTGTAGTCCCAGCTGCTCGGGAGGCTGAGGCAGGAGAATGGCGTGAACCCGGGAGGCAGAGGTTGCAGTGAGCCGAGATCACGCCACTGCACTCCAGCCTGGGTGACAGAGCGAGACTCCGTCTCAAAAAAAAAAAAAGAAAGAAACATGCACACCCTCACACACAAGCAATAAATAAACATACAAAGAAAAAGTATCCACCCAAATTATACACTTAGAAACATTTATTCACAATTGCTTATTCAGTATCTCCCTGTGTGATCTCATAGCTATAGGTATGAAGTTTTTCCCAAATGGTGTCCCATTGTACCTGTTAGACAAATAGATGCTAGTTTCTCACATAATGTTGATGTCAGAGACATCTTTCAGTGTCAATAAATACCACTGACATTGTTCTAAATACTTCAAATTCACCTTTGTATTTAGGTGCTATATTTTATTTAACTATTTATTAGTAGATTTTAGGTTATTTTCAGTTCATAATAACCTCATACATACATCTTTTGGTGCTTGCAGAAATCTCTGCAGATAGAATCTTAGAAGTATAATTCTTAGGTTTATGGATTACTTCTGTTTTATTTTAGAAGTCAAAGGATTCAGTATTTGATGGAATTAAAATAAGTCTTAATGCTTATCTTTAAGGAAAACTGAATTGTTATTTTTAGTTTGTTTACACCTTAGTAGATTCAGAGGATGAGTTCTGTCAAAACTCTTTTTTAAATAACCTAGGAGACCTTTTCCTTTCCCTTGGCAGGATCTGTTCAGTGACCTTTTCCTTTCTCATGGCAGAATCTGTTCAGTGGTTGTCAGTTTATTCCTCAAAGATGGCCTAATTCTGAATTTTGAAGCATTTATACTGTTAATGGAAGTTTACTCCTTTTTCAGTTACCTTTTGAGTAAATTAATGTCATTTACCGTATTTACTGTATTTACTTTGCTTTTTCTCACTTATTTTTTAAGAACCTATGACTTAAGAAATAGTGTAGATCAAAAGATCATAGAGAATTGGTCACTGGAAGAATAATTCTTGTTAGTCTTTGCCTATGAGGGAGAAATCACCTTGTGAAGGAATTCTGACTTTGTTGGCTTAATGTGTTGTCATTATCACTTTATTCATTTATTTTAATAGCTTTTGGCATACAAATGGTTTTTGATTACATGGGTGAATTATATGGTGGTGATGGCTCATTGCCAGGCAGTCAGAATCATAAATTATAGAAAAGATGAAATGAAGAGCCAGTTGGTAGAGATAAAAAGTTGTAGACTCATACAACTCTGTTACTAGTAATGGAAAATGTAAAGGTATATTTTCTTTGATAGTGTGATATTTTTTCTTTTGTAGAGAAGAGAATAGTGTTGTATTTGGTCCCCTCCTATCTTGTGGCCCCCCCCAGAATCTTTCTCACTGGTAACCAAGGAAGCTAGTGTAATAATATAACAATAGTGTGGTATCATAATTGAACTGAACATCTGATTGTCTCATTGAGCTAATGCCTCCTTGAGAAGTGTCTACTAAAACATCTTATTCCCTTCCCTGGCCATCTGTGTTGCTTATTCTTGTAGAATAAACATAGTTTTCAGTATATCAATATGTATAATATATACTGAGCTTTGAAACTGCCATCATGTCTTTTTAGGGGAATCTTGCCCTGTATTTCTGTACCTTACATTTCTGTGTTTTGAGATGACTCTGTTAGCTTATAACTAAAATTGAAAATTTATAAAACCTTGAGTGTTTTTTACCCAGGTATATTTTGTCTTTTAGATGAAAAATTGCATAATGATTTGGAATGTTGTTTTAGGTTTAGCCTTGATTAAAAACAGTATCACACATTTATAGTGTTACAAAGTGAAAATAAAACCAGTAAATAATAATATCCTTCTTTAAACTGTGTATTTCCTTATGCTATAATTTCTATTAGATCCTGCAAAAATGGAGTTATAGAGTATTGAATTCTAAGGTAATTATAGAATATTCTTATTGCAGGAAATTTGGACACCTATAGTGCCTCTTTGGTCTATTTGCTTTTCTTAGCTTAATCTATTTCCTGTTCACATAACACTGTATAATTTTTTGAGAAAGGAATCTTCTTTATAAAAATACACCAGTTAATTCACCATGAAAATTTAATTTCAGATAGAGGATAACTGAGTTTCAATTAACTGGAGCTCTTTATTTTTCTATTTGATTAACCGGATGAAATTATTCCATTTAAATTCTTTTATTCTTCAGCCAGAGAACATTCTTCAGACTTATAAACTATGTACCAACAAAATATGCATGTGAAGATATAATGAGTGTTCGTAAAGCTCATTTCATTAGATTATTTTATCTTTACAGTGACCGTGTGCAGTACATATTTTTAGTAATTCTTTTTACTGATAAACATTATTATATTTTGCATTAAGACTTGAATATACTTTTTCGTTGAAACCCTCATGGTCTCTGCTAATCTGTGCAGCCTCTGTTATAAGACGGCACCGGTAAAGACTAATAATGTTACTACATCTCTACTTTCAAGGTTTACCATATAGAGAATTCATTTTCAGCTTCACAGAGAGAGTAAAATCTATTCTTTTCCAGTTGTCACAACTTAAGATGTATTTTTTTTTCTAACAGAGTTCACAAAATAATCCATTTTTCCCTTACAGTGTATACCCACAGAAAGTGGCCTTAGTTTAATTTTAACACTGACTCAAAGCTCCCCACCCCACCTGTCTGCCTCATTCCCAACTGTATTTCACAAAAATCCTAGAATACTCTGAGAAGAGAATGATTCAGGAAAATGTGTTCTGTTAATGTATCACTTTCAGGGTCTATTTTAGTGTTTTTTGAGGGTTTGGAGCTGTAACTTTAAAAATGCTGTGTATCACGGCCGGGTGCAGTGGCTCACGGCTGTAATCCCAGCACTTTGATAGGCTGACTTGGGCTGATCACTTGAGGCCAGGAGTTCTAGACCAGCCTGTCCAACATAGCAAAACCCATCTCTACTAAAAATACAAAAATTCAGCTGGGTGTGGTGGCACATACCTGTAATCCCAGGAACTTGGGAGGCTGAGGCACGAGAATCACTTGAGCCTGGGAGGTGGGGGTTGCAGTGATCACACCATCACACTCCATTACACTCCAGTCTGGGCAACAGAGGGAAACTCTGTCTCAAAAAATACATACATACATACATACATACATACATACTATGTATCACACACTCAGAAACATTTTACAATATTTCTGTCTCTATTACTGTGAAATCCAAGGGTGAATAAAGTACATGTATTTGGTATGGTTCTTTTTTTAAGTAAGAGAAATCGTAGTTTACTACTTATTTTTATATACCTAATATATATATACACTTAATATATATATATACCTAATATATATATACCTAATATATATATGTATACCTAATATATATATGTATACCTAATATATATATATTAGATAAAGAAAATAGATTCATTGTGTATTCTGCAGATCTCTAGGTAGTGATTGTGGTTGCATATAATGATTTTCATTGAAATGATGTGTATGTTGTATTTGTAATAGAATTTTTACCTTCCTTTTGGGGATGAGAGAAATTAAAGAAAAAGGTCAAGTGTAAAGAGGATGTTAACTGTGACTGCTGAGAATATCCTGTCTATCTTGAAATCTATCCTGAGGCCACTGCCTAAACCCAATTAATTTTGATCTGATAATTCAGAGAATGGAGGAGATTCCATAGGTTTGTGCGCCCCCAAGCCCAAAACCCTTACAAGAGGAGATAAAAAGACATCATTAAGAATCTGGATCCCAGTGCCAGCACTTTGGGAGGCTTAGGTGGGACGATCACTTGAAGCCGGGAGTTCAAGACCAGCCTTGGCAACATAGGGAGACCCTGTCTCTACAAAACATAAAAATAAATTAGTCAATATCGTGGGCTGCACCTGTAGTCCTAGCTGCTCAGGAGGTTGAGGTGGGAGGATCGCTTGAGACTAGGATTTTGAGGTTACAGTGAGCTATGATTTTACCACTGCATTCTATCCTGGGCGACAGAGTGAGACCCACTCTGCATGTGTAAGAACAAAAATAAAGAAAATAAAAAAGAAAGCTGGAAAGGCTTATCATTTACCTTACATTTATCTAATTTGTAACATATTCATGATTATAAGAAATTCATGATTAACACTGATAGGTGAGATCTGGCCTGGTCACAAAATCATTACTGATGCATTCACTTAACAGATTTTTTTTTTAATGTCTGTGGGCACATAACTAGAAAATTGGTCTTCTTTCTAAGGGGCTGACATATAAATGGGGGAAATAATAACCAGGCAGGTTTTTTTTTTTTTTTTTGGACAGAGTCTCGCTCTCTCGGCCAGGCTGGAGTGCAGTGGCTTGATCTCGGCTCACTGCAACCTCCGTCTCCTGGTTTCAAGCAATTCTCTTGCTTCAGCCTCCCGAGTAGCTGGGATTACAGGCGTGTGTCACCACGCCCAGCTAATTTTTGTATTTTTAGTAGAGACGGGGTTTCACCATGTTGGCCAGGCTGGTCACAAACTCCTGACCTCAGGTAATCCGCCCGCCTCAGCCTCCCAAAGTTCTGGGAGTACATACAGGTGTGAGCCACTGCGCTGGGCCAACCTGGCAGTTGTAACAACATAGTATCTGACATATTAGTAGAATTCAAGACACTACAGGAAAATCAATCCAGATTTGGAGGCCTAAAGGATACATAGGAATTAACCAAGAATAGAGTACAAATGAAGAGGGGCAAGGGATTGGTGTCCCAAGGGTATGAAAACAATGTTAGCAGTGAAGGAAAGCATCACATATTCAGGGGACCTTGAAAAGTTTGGTGTGCCTGAGCATAGTGTAGCTGGAAGGTAGTGGTGGGAGATGAGCCTGGAGAGGAAATCAGGGGCTAGAAGATAAACAGGAATATATCACAGAGTTACTTACCTTAAAAGTAATGTTGAGCCACTGAAAGGTTTTCAGCAGCTCTCATCAGGTTTGCATTATAGAAAGATGGTCTTCAGGTGTAGTTGAATGGTTGGAGGGGAAGTTGGAACAAGACCAAACTACCATGGAAGAGACTTTCATCTGTTTTGTCTCAGCAGATAGAGCTGTATATGTCTTCTCCCTGTCCTACTGTTTTGGGGGACTGAGATTTTGGTACTCATCAGCACTCTTGCTCTCATATTATGGACTTAATAGATAGTTAGTTTCCAGGTAGAAATATATTCCATGCTCCAGATATTTGTCTTAAAAAGCAATCTGTGTTCATATTGGCAACTGCAGATTTATCTCTAGGGATCTCCTTCAATAGAGTACAAGTGCCATAGCATAAATGGATCTGGGAACATGGCTTCCTTTGTTCTCATATACGAATCCGACGTCTACAATGTTAGGCAGAAATTTTCCAACACTAATCCTATTACTTGGTTATTTGACGGACTCAGGCAGAAAGCTATGATCCGTCGATTGATAGAAGCTAAGTCGTTAAGTCAAAAAGCATCTTAAATCTTTTGTATTAAGGTCCTGGAATGGCAGGGTGAGACTCCATACATGTTCATGTCTTCCTGTTCCTCTACTGTTTGCTTAAAGCTGTCACCCAGCTAAAGTTGTAGACATGGAACACTTATACAACATTAAATTTTGTGTCCTATCTACCCAAATCTAAAAGAGAACTCATATGATGGTGAGATATTATTAATTTTATTAAATAAGTCAGTTTTCTTGATTGAAAACTGAAGGAAATTTTCTTGGTAGAAATTCTTTGTTAGAATGCAGAACCTTGGCATTTGTGAGGAAGAACTTTTAGATGTTATACCACCTATGCTACTGTTTACTTAAATTTTTCTTTGCCTTTTTTTTCTACTTAGAATTTTTCTTCAGATCAACTTAAAAAATTAAACAAGTTTTTCTTAGGCTTTTAAAGAGGAAACTTCAAATTACCCCCATAGCGGATGGACCATTATCATTTGCCATAAATAGGAGACAGTGTAAACATGAGTGAACCATTTACTGTGAATAAAATAGTGTTTACTTATTAATCCTTGAAATATATTAGACCATGTGTGCAAAGCAGTACAATCGGGAATAATCATTCAGATTTTGTTTGTTAAATGAAACACTGGAAAAATAAATGCATGTCCATCAAAAGGAGGATTGTTTATACTACAGAATATTCATACATGTAAAATTGTGCAACAATGGAAAAGAAAAGTGATCTATATTTTATTTTATGTATTTATTTATTTTGAGACGGAGTCTTACTCTGTCACCCAGGATGGAGAGCAGTGGTGCGATCTTGGCTCACTGCAAGTTCCGCCTCCTGGGTTCAAGCAATTCTCCTCAGCCTCCCCAGTAGCTGGGATTAGAGGCCCTTACCACCACACCTGGCTAATTTTTGTATTTTTAGTAGAGAGGGGGTTTCACCGTGTTGGCCAAGCTGGTCTTGAACTCCTGACCTCAAGTGATCTGCCCCCCTCCGCCTCCCAAAGTGTTGGGATTACAGGTGTGAGCCACCGCGCCCGGCCTGATCTATAATTTAGATGTAAAAACAGCCAGCTCTTGGATGTATCATTGAATTTTTAAAAGGAAGCTGGGCTGGATATGGTGGCTCTTGTGTATAATCCCAGCACTTTGGGAGGCCAAGGTGGGAGGATGATTGCTTGAGCCCAGGAGTTCAAGACCAGCCTGGGCAACATGGTAAGTAAAACCCTGATATATTAGTTGAGTTGCCTTGTACACTGTACTCCTTTTAGGTGGTGTGCTGTGGAGTAGAGTAGGTAGAACCAATATTGCAGCCATATCACTGAACTTTCTGTTCATCCAAAGGTTTTGGTAAGAATGACTGCTTAGCTGGGCGTGGTGGCTCACGCCTCTAATCCCAGCACTTTGAGAGGCCGAGGCAGGTGGATCACCTGAGGTCAAGAGTTCAAGACTAGCCTGGTCAACATGGCGAAACCCGTCTCTGTTAAAAATACAAAACAATTAGCTGCGTGTGGTGGCACGCACCCGTAATCCCAGCTACCGAGGCAGGAGAATCACTTGAACCCAGGAGGCAGAGGTTGCGGTGAGCCAAGATCCCACTAGTGCACTCTAGCCTGTGGGATAGAGCAAGACTCTGTCTCAAAAACAAACAAACAAACAAACAAAAAAACTAGAATGACTGCTTAAAGAAGGAACTCAGGATTAACACTGTGGGATTTTCTTTTATGTCTTGTAGTTCTCTTATTATAGAGTTTTCACTATTATATATAGTAATGTATCAGGTACATAATTATATATAATATCTCTAATATACATACATACATATATCTGAAAAGTAGCCTCTGAATTTTTATTTTTGAAACAGTAGACTTTAAGCCGTGTTTTAAGTTGTCCTCAATTACACCTTAATACTAAGTGATTAATCTCTTACAGTTTGGTGCATGATAATTACAGTACTCTGATGGGATTGATATTTAGTGTAAACTAGCGCACTGCTCAAGGAATGAGTGTACTTTTTAGTTAATTTCATCTTTTCTGACTTACCTGTTAGAGTAACCTATTGACACTGTAAGGTGGCAGCTAGGGGTGTTTAATGGTGATTTAGTCTGTGTTTTGAAAGTTGACAATTCTTTAGGCAGTTGTTGGGTATTCACTGTACAGATTGTTTTAAGAGCTTCATAAAGATGATGTTTTAATATTTTTTGGTTCAGGGCTCTGTGTTTCTGTAATTTACTATCTTTCCTAATACCCCCTTTCAAGAGTCGTGATTTGTAATAACTGCATGGTGTTAAGTGTAAAAGTTAACACAGATAAACTGATGAATATTGATGTTGGCTGGTTTACTAATAACCAGAATTTGAATTAAGGCCATTTCTGAGATAGCATTCCTTCTGGAGGAACAAAAGATTAGGCCAGTATTTTATGTCAAAATAGAGATTTTACATTCAACACTTTGCATTTTTTGAACTAGAAGACAAGGTTAGAGTTAAGTATTCTCAGGATTTTCTTCAGAAATTAAAGGTGTTTTTTTAAGGAATATATGTGACATTTGGTACATTAGTTTAATAGCATTTTGAATGTGTACTTTACCTATACCTATAATGCTAAAACGTATTGTAATTTTTTTTCCCCCTGAGACAGTCTCTCACTCTGTCGCCCAGGCTGGAGTGCAGTGACATAATCTTGGCTCACTGCAGCCTCCACCTCCTGGGTTCAAGTGATTTTTCTACCTCAGCCTCCCAAGTAACTGGAACTACAGGCTCCCGCCACCACGCCCGGCTAATTTTTTTGTATTTTTGTAGAGACGGAGGTTCGCCATGTTGGCCAGGCTGTTCACGAACTCCTGACCTCAGGCGATCTGCCCATCTTGGCCTCCCAAAGTGCTGGCATTACAGGCATGAGCCACCTTGCCCGGCCTGTAAATTTCACTTAGACCATTCTTCTAATATCATCTGTCACTTAAAACCTAAAGAATAGGCTGGGTGCGGTGGCTTACACCTGTAATCCCAGCATGTTGGGAGGTTGAGGTGAGAGGATTACTTGAGCCCAGGAGTTTAAGACAAGCCTGGGTAATATAACGAGACCCCCATCTCTCTTCTTTAAAATAATATTTAAATTTAAAAAAATTTTTTTGGCTGGGTGCAGTGGCTCTCACCTTTAATCCCAGCCCTTCGGGAGGCCAAGGCAGACAAATTAACTGAGGTCATTAGTTCAAGACCAGCCTGGCCAACATGGTGAAACCCCATCTCTACTGAAAATACAAAAATTAGCTGCGTGTGGTGGCGCACAGTGGGTGTAATCCCAGCTGCTTGGGAGGCTGAGGCAAGAGAATCGCTTCAACCGGGGAGGCGGAGGTTGTAGTGAGCCAAGATAGTGCCATTGCACTCCAGCCTGGGCTACAGAATGATACTCCGTCTCAAAAATAAATAAATAAATAAAAGTTTTTTAAAACCTAAACAATAAAAAGTGGAGCATATCAGGATGCTGGCATTGTATGTTTTTCTTGTTCAATTAAAATTATTTTTAATAATAGTTTGAATGAAAATGGTTGATTAAACCCTAAATATTGGTTCTTTTTAATTTATTTGCCTGTATAATGTTAAGTAGTTCTTTATTTTATTTCAGAGGAATTGTTTAAGAGGCTTATTTCCTCTACTTGCCTACTATCATATTAGGCAGAAGAAAAAAACTTAGTATTCACCCATCAAGGACTTGCACTCTAGGTGAGATCCATTCCCTGGGCTAGTGTTTGAAAATTCCTGTAACCATAAACGTTTTATTTTTTTAGATGCCCTTAGGCTGGCAATATTCAATCGCTTTGTGATTGAAACCCCTTTCTTTCTGGCAGAAAAAAATATACCAGATTATCATTAATTCTATCCCCAAAGCCTTAGATTCTGGCTTACTTCTTTAGTTTTATAATTTAGTCATTTTTGTATGTAATATTTTTGGGGTTTAGGCCTATAAAGAGTGGGAGGAAATAGTTTCCTAAGGACCAAGACAGAAAAAGAGACTTGAAAAGTAGCAAAGGGTATATATCAGGTGCAAGCAATGTTGCACACGGGCCAAAGACAACCTGTGAAAAGATGTTTATTGATGCACAGACTCCAAGCCTCATTCCATACCGATTGTGAGGACTCAAAATTTGGTGAAAATCAATTTTAGAAATGTTCTGATTGACGACTTAGGCAGATACAAAACAAAATTATTTCATGCATTCCTTTTGTTCTACCAATTAAATTTTGATTAGTACAATATTTGGTTCTTTTGTTTTTTTTTTTTTGAGACAAAGTCTCACTCTGTCACCCAGTCTAGAGTGCTGTGGCGTGATCTTGGCTCACTGCAACCTCCGCCTCCCAGGTTCAAGTGATTCTTCTGCCTCAGCCTCCTGAGTAGCTGGGACTACAGGCGCGTGCCACCACACCCGGCTAATTTTTGTATATTTTGTAGAGACAGGATTTTGCCATGTTGGCCAGGCTATTCGTGAACTCCTGACCTCAGGTGATCCACCCACCTTGGCCTCCCAAAGTGCTGGGATTACAGGTGTGAGCCACCGTGCCCAGCCGATTAGTACAGTATTTCTTTTCCAGCCTCTGTGCTTTCATTTTTTTCTCTTCTTGTTTCTTGAAAATAAGCCAATCTGCCCTAAATCAAGCATGCATTGTAATAAATACATAGTTGCGTATAGTTATATAAGAATATAAGGAGTTAATAATACAGTCCTAACTTTTATGTAGGATTTATAGTTTCTGAATTGCTTAGGTATATATTGATTTTTCTGCTCTATGTAGTGGGCAAGAAAGTATGTACTATTCTTATTTGATAGAAAATGAATCTGTTGCTTAGAATGTTACATTACAAACTTAGTAATAGGTAATAAAGCTGAGATTTAGCTTCTAAGCCTTCTGATACTGTTGATGTTCATCATGGAAAACAGTATTGATGAAGAAAGATAGTTTGATTGACCCATAGTCTAGCTACTTCTATTTTTATATACCACTACTACCCACTACCCAAATAGTTCATTGATCATTAGGATTCACGCTTGTATAATGGCTAAATTTAAGCCTTAATTGGTTGTTGGAAAACACTGATTAAATGCCTAAATACAACTTACTCTGTTACTTAAGTGATTTAAAAAAAAAAACAACTTAAAAAAAAATTATAAATTGACTTAGTGTTTCTGCCTCAGAAGCATAACATATTAGTATAAAATGATCACTTTATTCTTTATCAAATGGCATTATATGAGCTTTATGTTTCACGACAGTTTTCACTGTATTATCTCAGACAAAATCTCAAGCAGTCCTTTTTTTTTTTTTTTTTTTTTTTTTTTGAGACAGGGTTAAACTCTGTCACCCAGGCTATGTGGCACTATATCGGCTCACTGCAACCTCCACCACCCAGAGCGATCCTCCCACCTTGACCCAAGTAGCTGGGACTACAGGCGTACACCACCACTCCCGGCGAATTTTTGTGTTTATAGTAGAGATGGGGTTTCCCCTTGCTGCCCAGGCTGGTCTTGAACTCCTGAGCTCAAGCAATCCACCTGCCTCAGCCTCCTGAAGTCCTGGGATTACAAATGTGAGCCACTACACCCGGCCAAAATCTCAACCAGTCTTAATTACTGAATTTGAAGTCTGTTGCTAAGTAAAATTTACTTCGTAGCAGGTCTTTCTGGGCACATTACATTTAGTAACTTGTTCATATTATCTATAGATTTTAGCATTCGGGTAGTTCAAATTCCACCTTTTTATAAATGAGAAAAACAAAGTTCATACAGACTGTTATTTGTTCTCAGTTCTCTGATGGTTAGTGACATAGCTATGATAAGAACTCATACCTCCTAATGTCTCAAAACATTTATCTGCTAAATTAAACTTCACTCCCAAATAATAATTAGGTTTGTGTGTAAATGATTAATTAAAAATCAGAGCATGGAGCTTCTGAGCTGGTTCTAATATTTAGGATATTTAAGAATTATTTTTAAGGGGCCGGACATTGTGGCTTACGCCTGTAATCCCAGCACTTTGGGAGGCTGTGGCACACAGATCATGAGGTCAGGAGATCAAGACCAGCCTAGCCAACATGGTGAAACATTGTCTTTACTAAAAATACAAAAATTAGCTGGGAATGATGGTGCGCGCCTGTAGTCCCAGCTACTCGGGAGGCTGAGGCAGGAGAATCATTTGAACCCGGGAGGTGGAGGTTACAGTAAGCCGAGATTTCGCCACTGCCCTCCAACCTGGGCAACAGAACGAGACTCCGTCTCAAAAAAAAAATTATTTTTAAATGATGGCAATGAAGTAAAATATTTTTAGTTGAAAAAAATCTGCTTTTGGGCTAAGTGTGGCGGTTCATGCCTGTAATTCCAGTGCTTTGGCAGGCCAAGGCAGGTGGATCACTTGAGACTAGCCTGGGCAACAAGGCAAAACCCTGTCTCTACTAATAATACAAAAATTAGCCAGGCGTGGTGGTGTGCACCTGTAATCCTAGCTACTCAGGAGGCTGAGGCATGAGAATCGCTTGAACCTGGGAGGTGAAGGTTGCAGTGAGCCGAGATCACGCCACTGCACTCCATCCTGTGCGACAGAGCGAGAATCTATCTCAGAAAAATAAAAAGAGAAGAAAATAACCTGTTTTTGATAATTTAAAAAATACATAGAATAATGTGCATTTTACAGAATTTTCTTACTGTTTTCCTTTTACTCATGTGTTTTCACTCCCCTGAAGAATTTGTAATATCCTATGATAGGAGATTAAAGGGCAGCATATTTCACTAAATATCCATAGTATTCTAGTCACGTCTAATTACTAGATTACCAAACTAAACTGAGACTCATTGTGTTTGGTTATCTCTCTAGTATGAGCAGGTAGCAACTTTATAATCACTTTTATGAAGAGTAGGTCAGCTTTAGCTGTCGATGTTTTTCTTGCAGTATTAACTGAATAAGAATTAATAAGGCTGGGTGTGGTGGCTCACGCCTGTAATCCCAGCACTTTGGGAGGCAGGTGGATCACATGAGGTCAGGAGTTCAAGACCAGCCTGGCCAACATGGTGAAACCCCATCTCTACTAAAGATACAAAAATCTAGCCAGGCGTGGTGGTAGGTGCCTGTAATCTCAGCTACTCAGGAGGCTTGAGGTGGGAGAATTGCTGGAACCTGGAAGGCGGAGGTTGCAGTGAGCCAAGATCTGCCATTGCACTCCAGCCTGGACAACAAGAGTGAAACTCCGTCTCAATAAATAAATAAATAAGATTTTTCTGAAATTTTCTTAATTATTGATGGATGTACTTTTCTACTGTCTTTTCAAGATGATTTGGTATCCACTTTCGTAGATTAGGGCAATGTCTTGGTGATAAAATGGCATTACCAAAAGAAGCCCCCTGCTCCCACACACACAGTATTATTTTCCATTTCCTGCATTTTATTGTGGTTTAATGTACCCTATATTTCTAATATCTTTAGCTCCTTTGTCAAGAAGAGATGGTTAAAGGATTTATGCAGCAGTACTTGATATTTAAAGAGTAAGCAAAAACACTCCCCATTTATGAGTATTGTTCAACATTTTATTTTAGACTGTTAGAAAAGACAGAACTTGAAAGTAACTCTCAGTTACCTCCACTAATAAAGGGATTTCTGGCGTGGATAACATAATACTTTAAATCTGTACATACATATTGTTTTTACTTGAATTTAAATATTATTATCTATTGTGAAAATTCATTCTGTTACCCACAAAATAGTCACTCTGTGAAGATGGGACCCTTTAGCATTTACAAGTTAGTTCTGGTGAAATTTATCTCCTGCTGGTCATTCCAGCTGGTATTATCTTAAGATGAAATTAAAATATAGCCATAGTAGTTTTACTTTTGAATAAATATGGTATTTCATAGCTTCCTTCAAGCAGGAACAAAGCCTTTTTTTTATATCTGATCTTTTGTGCAGACTTTTTCTGCTGTACTCCAATAAGCAAAAATCGTATTTAGTGTAGTTGGTATTTGATGGTTTCACCAAAAATTTGAGAGAGAAACTTATTGTGAATAAAAAAATCTTATTTGCTGCCAGGGCATGACACAAATGACTCTATGTTCAGTGTAAAGTGTTCTGGATATTTAACTTCTCTTTGAACAGCATTGAAGCAAGCATCTTTTATTGCCGTTTTTCCTAGCTATCTCAAAGTTTCTTCCTAATGGAAAGTTGTTCATCATAGTTTTAAATAACTGAAGTCACTTGTACAAGTACCCCACTTCCTTTTTATATACCTAAGCAATGGGAGATCACTTGATTTACATCTTTCAAGGCATATTTTCTACCAGACTCTTTTATTTTAACCCCCATAAGCTGGATCTTCTAGCACTTTAGTTAAAAAAAATTTCAGTTCCAGCCCTCCTACTTTGATTTCTGTTGAAAAACACTCTTTTACCTCTGCTTCTTATACCTAAAAATGAAAAAGTCCTGATTTCTTAGCCAGATAGCATTTGTTATACCCATATATTTCTTTAAACATTCCTGTTTTTGATGGTGGTAAACAAGTTCAGTTGTTTGTCAGTCTTTTTTCACACAGATAGGCAAATATTTATTTTAACATCTCTTCTTTGACTGGCTCAGTTGGGTTGTCCCCTGGTAAACTGCTGAAACATATTATTTGTGGCAACTCTATTTAACAGTAGCATGCAGTACCTTCCGTATGTCTGGTGATGTTTAATTTGGCCTAAAAATTAGTATATTTGTGTCTAGTATAGAAATCAAGGTTTTATTTTTAAAGGCTTCTTATAACTATTTTAAGTATTCCCTTCTTTCATGCTCACTTATGCTACCAAAATATTTTTCTTTCAACATTCATTTAAATCATTCAAAATTAAACTGGTACTTCCACTTAGAGATTAAGTAAAAACAAAAGGGGATCATAGAGTTAAAAACTAAGCTTTAAATTAATCACAGAAAACATTTATAGTACGGAGATCTTCGCCCGTTTACTGGTGCATTTCAAGAATTATTTTTGTGCATCCTGGAGATACTAGAAGCAGTTTCCCACAGTAATATTTTTATTTACTCTTTCAGTTTACCTCTAATCTAAACTATAATTACTGTCAAAGAGCTTTAGAACTGAGGAGCACAGTGTGATCAGTGCTTTTTGGTAAATGTAGAAGTTTCATTCTCTTATAGTTTTAGAATCTTCTTCTGCAGTGCTAATTCTTAATAGTTGTGAATCTACATTTCAGCATGTAGTCTCCAGATAACTTCTTCAAATGGCTCTCCTTTTTTAAATGTTTATTGCAACTTTGCAGTATGTTTAGCTTAGATTTAGGAGTGCAAAGGGTTAAAGGGGTCTTGTTTTATCAAGGAAATAGCTGTATTAAGCTGTTTTCAGTTTTTGGATTATAAAATACCATAATTCTGACATGGTGTATTTAGTCTTACTAATACTCAACTTTATTTGGGCGGTAGATACTGGTAGAGGCAGTTCAATATAATTGAATGTTGAGGTATGGGTTTGCTTTTTTGTTTTGTTTTCAGGAGAAAGATTTGCCCATTTTGCTCACATCCTACTTCAGATATGTGTCACAGAGCCAAAATTTGTTTAACTAATTAGCTATTTAGTTGGAATTCACAGCATAGTGGAAAATGTTTGCAGATAATTCTGTGCAATAGTGGAAACTTCAGTTGCTTCCTCGTATTTCTTCAGGGCAGTGATCACAACCAGATTCAACGTATGCACAAAGCAGCGGATACCATGGTAGCGGCCGTCGCTGATTGCTTTTACCATGTTGGATCCATTGTCAGTCTCAAAGACCTACTTCCAGCTAGGTGCCTTGAACTCAAATAGCTTTTCACACAGACTTCAGGATGTGAGCTAAGGTATGGCCTTTTTTCATGAGCTGGGCCTACATATGGGTTGACAGTAACCTGCAACTTTTATAGAAAAGAGACTACTGGCTATAGTTTAATGTCAGACAATGACTAGTTAGAATCATTGATAGGCAGGTAGTGTGTGTTCTTCATATATTCAAAGTATTCTCACCATTTAGAGATTTTCTTTTTTTCGGTGTGTTTTTGTCAGACTATTCAAGTAAAGATTTCTCATTAGAACCTGGTCAAAGGTCTAATATATATCTGCTTTATGATTCAACCATTGTCTTCAATATGAAATATATATCATTTCTTTCACACATTTGATGTAAAGAATTTTTTTAAACTTCTGAGGATTCTTGCACAATTATTTTTCTTTTACTTTTTCTTAATTATGGTAAAAAAATAAAATTTATCATCCTAACCTTGTGTACTATTTTAATAATCTCTTACTAATCTTCTTTTTAAAAGTGGATTTAGGAAATTGGCATGAATAGAGCTTGAGATTTAGAATCAGTAGTTCCAAGGGTAATCTACACACTGGGGTGGTAAATACAATAAAGACCTAAACTGGATTGATGCAGTTCATGCTCCATGCTAAAGATTCTTGTTTCATCAAAGAGAAAATAACCTTTCTGGAAAAAGAGCTTCACTTTCATATCTTCCTTCTCTGCAAGATATGTTTCTTTAAGTGAAATCTTTATTGAGAGTACAGTGGGTTAACTCATTGATTATAGGCTTAGGAAACTATATTTTATTATGGCTGTAATCATAACTGCTTTCTGAAACAAGTTACTGTTGTTTTCTTATTCAGTGGCCCTGTTACTTAATAATTTGTCAAGACCTGGTAATAGAGAATCATTTACAACTGGGGAGTAAGAGTCTTTGTAAATTCAAAGTGGGTACTGTCAAGCAGCTTATGCACTTCTCTTCATTCTCAGTGTTTGACACTGATTGTTATTAGCTATTGACAAATGCAGAAGTTGGTAATCTGTTTGAGTTACTCTACCAGAATCATGTCTTTATTAAGAAGTGACTCACTGTTAAACTACAGTCTCACCTTAATTTCATAGCTGTAAAAGACACAGTATAGTAGTTGACTCGAGCAGTAAAATTCTCTGATATTTCAGTCTTCAGACGTACACTATACTCTCCTTATATATGCAAAAACATATATTCAGATACATGTACATAGACGACAGTTGATGACTGAAATGGTGTACAGTATAACATCTGCCAAGTCATTTCCTGAGTGGTAAAGGAAAGTGGCCATGTGTTCTCTGACTTCTTATAACTCAGGGAAGATAAGAAGAGAGCACAGGAAAAAAGGCAGCCATTCAGTGACATATTATACCTCTTCAGTTAAGTCAGGTGACATAAGTTTTTACCTTCTAGTTAAAGATATCTGTAGAAACTAGTTTTTGTTTACACATTGTAGGAACCAAATTCAAAACACATGCATGATACTATTTTCATTTATTCTTCCTACCCACTTGAGTGGCTTCTGAGTTTACTGTTTATCTACCTTGAGTTAAGGATTGAATAGCTTCTGAGCAGATTTTTGTTTTTGTGACAAGGAAAGGTTCATTTGTATGTAGATGACATAGTATTATTTGTTAAGGATTCTTTTTTTTTTTTTCTGGGAGATGGGGTTTCACTCTTGTTGCCCAGGCTGGAGTGTAATGACGTGATCTCGGCTCACTGCAACCTCCGCCTCCCAGGTTCAAGTGATTCTCCTGCCTCAGCCTCCCCAGTAGCTGGGATTACAGGCATGCGCCACCATGTCCAGCTAATTTTGCATTTTTAGTAGAGATGGGGTTTCTCCATGTTGTTCAGGGTGGTCTCGAACTCCCAACCTCAGGTGTTCCACCCGCCTCAGCCTCCCAAAGTGCTGGGATTACAGGCATGAGCCACCATGCCCAGCCTATTTGTTAAGGATTCTTCTACTGTCTGTTACTCTTTTTATAGTTCTCTAAGGCTCCATGACCACTTTGCGAGATAGTATTTTAATGTAATGACCAAGTCCCTTTTTAGGTAGGTATACAACTAAAAAAATAAGTGATGTATAGTTTAGATCATACCTTAGCATAAATATTTTAAACACTTTTATTTATATACGATTTTAGTTTGTTTCAAATGATCTATTTAAAGAATTATAAAGATGTAGATTTTTGAAATTCTAAGCAGTAGTGTAAAGATGTTTGTGATGTCAATAATGTGCTGAGAGTTGGAATAGAGAAAAGGAAATAATGTTTAGTTGTGTTTTCAGTGACTCTTGTATTAAACTACTAGTACATTTATCTAGAAAATTTAAATAAAAATGTAATGTCCTATATACTTAAACCTTGCTGTAATACATCCTATTGTGATAACAATGTGAAATGAAATTGGGTACATTTTAGATCCTGATAGGAAATAACAGAATAATATCTTTAAAATGAATATGCCCTAAAACTTAGTGTCTCATTAAAAGATCCAATGTATAGAAACACATTGTATTAAGACACCCAGTAATGAACCTACATTTTACTCTAAAATATGTTTTTTTTTCTTGGAAATTTAATTCTGAGTGAAATACAAATAGTATTAAAATTTAAAAACTGCTTGTGGTCCTTTAATTCTCAAATATTTTAGGTGTAGAAGTGATTTCTGTCTCTGAATATTTATAATTATGTGTGTTTTTAAAAGTGTGTCTCTGAGGACATCAGGTATCTGGATCTTTTACAGTATGACATTTATATAATGTCTGTCTCTTCTCTGATTTTATATTAGAAGGGAAAACCTACCCATAACTTTACTAGCCAGTGGCTTCAAAAGCAAGTTAATATAGATCATGTGTGTGACAAATGAAATGCACACACTCATTTGTATATTGATTTATGGAGGTGTTTTAGTCCTAAAATCTTAATTTTCCTTGCTTTTCTTTCCATATTAAAAAAATTCAGATCTAAAAGGGAAAATGTTAAAACAGGAGTAAAACCAGATGCGTCTGATCAAGAACCAGAAGGACTTACTCTTTTGGTACCAGACATCCAAAAGACTGCTGAGATAGTTTATGCAGCCACCACCAGTTTGCGGCAAGCAAATCAGGGTACAAAACTTTTCCTATTATGCCACTTTTCATTTGATGTAAAGATGTTTCATTTACTTACTGAAACCTGCCTTTGTGTTTTTGCTTTATGTTAATGATTTTAAAGCAAGTTCATTTACCTAAAAATTTTGTTCTCTGTTAGATTTTGTTCTTTATCTGATTTCAATCATGTATAGTCTAATTTTTAAACATTTCTACTATATATGATTGCTAAATTTAGTAGGCTGAGAACATACATTATAAATATTTCTTCCCCCTGAAATTCATGAAATTGAAAAAATGCCTTTATATTAGATAGAAAATAGTACATTAAGACTATGGGTGAGAATTTAGTTTAAATTGATATCTCTGGCTGGCGCAGTGACTCACGCCTTTAACCCCCCCAGCACTTTGGGAGGACTAAATGGATAGATCACTTGAGCTCAGGAGTTCAAGATCAGCTTGGGCAACATGGTGAAACCCCGTCTCTACGAAATACAGGAAACATTAGGTGGGCATAATGGCGTGTGCCTGTGGTCCCGGCTACCTGGAAGGCTGAAGTGGGAGAATTACCTGAGCCTGGGAAGTTGAGGTTGCAATTAGCTGTAATTGCACCACTGTACTCCAAGCCTGGGAGACAGAGTAATACTCTGTTTCCAGATAGATGGATGGATGGATGGATGGATGGATGGACGGATGGATAGATATTTTCCTATGTTAGCTGAAGAAAGTGATCTGAATTATCTATTGTTTCACTTCCTCTTTTCATAAAGATGATTATGTTTTTGCTTTATTGTTATGTTTATGTTATTGTTATGTTTATGAAATAGAAATTTTTTATTCTCAGAGCGGTTGTAATAAGATAATTGTGAAGAAGTTGACAATTTTTTGGAATTCACAATTTGAACTCTAGAGGTGAATTCTTTTTAGTTTTATTTTTTAAAATATATACTTAAAATGTATATGTTATTTATCTTGAAATATTAAATAACAGAAAAAAAACTGGGTGAATACTCCAAGAAGGCGGCTATGAAACCCAAACCTTTGTCAGTATTAAAGTCACTTGAAGAAAAATATGTGGCTGTTATGAAGAAATTACAGTTTGGTAAGATGAAATTTTTGATTTGCTTAAGATCTCACTTTCCATTTTTTTTTAACAGTGCTATTGAAATGTGTTTTAGCAAATTAAAGATTTTTAAAATTGCTTGTAACATGAATTTTACTTCATACATATCAACATTTTTTATCATCTTTGCCTCTTGAATTTATGTCTGTATTTTTAGTTATAAACTGTGACTTCAATAGAAGGACTGTAAGAGCCTAGAAAAAATAAATCCAAGCCAAGTGTCTACAAAACAGGCAGAAAATGTTTTTCCTTATTTACCTCTTCATTTCTGTACATCCTGGCCTGAAGGAAGCCAAGACCCAGAACTTTGAACTAAGTCTGTTACTCTTGCCATTTTAGATTTCCTTGCAATTCACCTTTAGAAAATGTAGTTATACATAGTTCAGTTCTAGCTTTTCCCATTCCAAAACTCTTGACAAGTAAGAACTGGCAAAAAGATTATATCAGTACCCTTTATATGGTTCTGATTTATGAGAAAACACATACCAAATTTTGATGACCATTATTAACTATTATTGTCTATGCTGCTTTTTCATCCTTGAGAAACAACCTAAAAATCTTGGACTGTATTTTTTTAAATGCTAAAGTAGGATTCAGAAAACAGATTTTTGTCATATTGTCTTTGAAACCTCATTATAAATCATTTAGCTTTTGCTCTACTTACTTTCAGGTTTGCCATAAAGAGCACAAGAGATAATATATATGAAAGTGATTTATACTTTTGTTAAGAGTTTTGGTCAGTGTCTAATGATATTACAGCCTTTTGCCTGACTCAGCTTGGCAATCTAGTCTGTTAACTTCACTCTAAGTAATAATATTAACTTGGTTTTTAAATAATAAATATTTTATTGAATTTATTATTTTATTGAAAATTCCTTTGTGTATTAAAGTACTAAAACCAAATACTTTATTTCATTTATATGAATTTAATTAGCAATTACCAAGGTTTTTTATGGCTTATTTTATCAAATAGTTCTATATTATATATTGTCACATAAATTACCCCTGTAACTTATTTGCTTTAAAAAACTGACCTGGCCGGGCATGGTGGCTCACGCCTGTAATCCAGCACTTTAGGAGGCCGAGGTGGGCGGTCACGAGGTCGGGAGTTTGAGACCAGCATGGCCAACATGGTGTAACTCCATCTCTATTAAAAATACAAAAATTAGCTGGGCATGGTGGCAGGCGCCTGTAACCCCAGCTACTCAGGAAGCTGAGGCAGGAGAATCATTTGAACCCGGGAGGTGGAGGTTGCAGTGAGCTGAGACACTCCAGTCTGGGCGACAGAGCAAGTCTCCATCTCAAAAAAAAAAAAAAAAAAAAATCATGACCTTTATTATCTCACTCTTTACATGGGTCAGGAATTCAGAAAAAGCCATAGTGCCTGTTATGACCTTGTCTTAGAAAGTGTACAGCATCACTCACTAAGTCCAGCCAACACTCAAGGGGAGGGGAAGAGTGTCAGAAAAGAGTTTCCAGACATATGTTTGTGTATGTGTGTTTCTGTTGGACATAAATATTTTATTGGGCTTTAGATTTCGTTCCGCTTCCTGGGTCATCAAAAATATGTCAGCTAATGGCTTTTAAAAATACATGGCAGTGTTCTTGTACTTGAAGGCGTTTAGTCATATTTCATATCTACAAATTCTTTAACTAGTTCTTTCAATCCAGAAAGTCATTTCATGTATATGAATGTGTTTATGGATCCTTATGTGTGAGAGATTCTGGTTTAAAGTTACTACCTGTCAGAAATTTAGAATCATATGTCCAGACCCCTTCATTAATGTTAGCTAGCTAGAAGAGTTCTCTCATACTACATAAAATCATAAACTCTCCAAGTATGTGACTTTAAACATAATCAAGTTTGCTCCCCATTGGCTTTCAAAATAAGTCTGAAAACATGCAAGTTTTCAGTTGATGCTTTCATAAGAAACTGCATTTTCAACCATATGTATCAAACATTTTCTAGTATCATTCTTTTACAACTTGATACTTACTAACTGCCTAAAATTCCATAATATGATTGGCTGCCATTTGTTTAACCAGTAAGTGGAACTTTAGTTTGTTTCCAGTATTTAAATATCATATGCAACATCTCAGTGGCTTTCATTACCTGTAAATATTTGTGCATATCCAGGATTAATTCTGTAGGATGAATTAACAGAAGAGAAATGATTGATTAAAACAGGCTGTGCATGTTTTATCAAGTAGCCATTGTCTTTGATTGAATCATTTATTTAATGAAATCTTTGAGTTAATAGACCCTGTCCTCTATATGATATAAAATTTTCCCACTGGGCATAGTAATGGGCCCATTTCTTGCATCTGTTAGATTGTTTTTTATAAAAGTTAAAGAAAATGTATCCCTATAGCATGTGAAAGACAAGAGTCCATCCATCTGGCAGTGCTAATCCATCTGGCAGTGCTAATATATAGGTGTTATGTAAACATTTACACTTTTGCTATTCTTCCATGGTTGGAAGTTCTCTCCAGTTGAGTGGGAGAAGGACTAGTGATTGTTTGTGATTTTTGTCATTATAACAATTTTTTGCAGTTCTGGGTTTTATTTTTTCTTCTCCTTTTAGATACGTTTGAAATGGTTTCTGAAGATGAAGATGGGAAATTGGGATTTAAAGTAAATTACCACTACATGTCTCAGGTGAAAAATGCTAATGATGCGAACAGTGCTGCCAGAGCTCGCCGCCTTGCCCAGGAAGCTGTGACGCTTTCAACCTCACTGCCTCTGTCTTCATCCTCTAGTGTGTTTGTACGCTGTGATGAGGAGCGACTTGATATCATGAAGGTAAAAAATAATGATAATAAAGCACTCTCCCTTATCTCCTTGGCTCATCTAATTACTCAAATTTTTATACAAAACTGGAAATACTATACAAATAAATTATACAAAACACTAGAAATTTTGGTGACCATTTTTAGACGGCAGTGAAAGGAGCCTCCCCACCCCTCCCCCCCTTTTTTTTTTGGCGACAGGATCTCACTTTTGCCCAAGCTGGAGTACAGTGATGTGATCACAGCTCACTGCAGCCTCCACAAAGAGCCCTTTTCTAATGTTAGTTCAGAGTGTGTGGATCACGCTGCTGTTGAAAAAAACATTTAGAAAATATCAAAAGAGCCATCATCCTTGAGCAAAGATTGTGTGAAGCTGGTCACAATATCAAAGGATTTAATGCTGATCAGTTAAAAAATGTTACAGGATTTCCATTTTGTCATCCAAGATACTTCTCTCATGTTTTTTAGTGTCACTCTTCAAAACTTAGTCATTTTCTGTCTTTTCTAGGAAATTTATGTTTTTTTTAAATTCCTAACATCTGTGAATTATAGGTAATACAATAATATATAATCTCTACTTTTATGTTTAACACGTGATAATCTGGCCTTAAATTCCAAGAGTCTGCTGCATCAAGAAAATGTTAAACATTTAACCCGAAAAAGAAAACTTTCTTTATATTTATGATTTAATTCATGGGTTAAACATTCTGTCTTCCATAGATACGCAGCTAAAACTATTGGCCCATTGACTTGTAGAAAGTTTTATTTGTTTGCTTGCTTCTTTTGATTTTTTGGATAGGCTCATGCCTGTAATCCCAGCACTTTGGGAGGCTGAGGTAGGCAGATCACTTGAGGTCAAGAGTTCCAGACCAGCCTGGCCAACATGGTGAAACCCCGTCTCTACTAAAAATACAAAAATTGGCTGGCTGTGGTGGCAGGCACCTATAATCCCAGTACTTGGCAGGCTGTGTCTGGGGAATTGCTTGAACCTGGAAGGTGGAGGTTGCAGTGAGCTGAGATCTCGCCACTGCACTGCAGCCTGGGCGGTGGAGTGAAACTCCATCTCAAAAAAAAAAAAAAAAAAAAAAAAAGGCCTGGTATGCTGGCTCATGCCTGTAATCCTGGCATTTTGGGAGGCCAAGGTAGGCAGATCAGTTGAGATCAGGAGTTCAAGAACAGCCTGGCTGATGTGGTGAAACCTCATCTCTACTAAAAATACAAAAATTAGCCAGGCATGGTGGTGCATGCCTGTAATCTCAGCTACTCGGGAGGCTGAGGCAGGAGAATTTCTTGAACCCAGGAAGTGGAGGTTGCAATGAGCCGAGATCACACCATTGGACTCCAGCCTGGGCCACCAAGTGAGACTGTCTTAAAAAAAAAAAAAAAAAGCTGTTCTTATTTTGGCCAGGCACAGTGGCTCAAGCCCGTAATCCCAGTGCTTAGGGAGGCCTATGCAAGCGGATCACTTGAGGCTAGGAGTTTGAGACCAGCCTGGACAACATGGGGAACTGGTCTCTACTAAAAATACAAAAATTAACCGGGCATGTTGGCAGGCACGTGTGTTCCCAGCTATTCAGGAGGCTGAGGCAGGAGAATTGCTTGAACTCAGGAAGCGGAGGTTGCAGTGAGCCGAGATTGCGCCACTGCACTCCAGCCTGGGCGACAGAGTGGGACTCCATCTCCAAAAACGAAGGTTGTTCTTATTTCATGTTGGATTGTATTTTTCTAAATATCAGTGTTTAGGAATGTTAACATAGACTTTTGTATGTTTATATATATCCAGGTTCTAATAACTGGTCCAGCGGACACCCCTTATGCAAATGGCTGCTTTGAGTTTGATGTGTATTTTCCTCAAGATTATCCCAGTTCACCCCCTCTTGTGAATCTAGAGACAACTGGTGGTCATAGCGTGCGATTCAATCCAAACCTTTATAATGATGGCAAGGTAAATTAATTGCAATTTTTTGTTTCAAATGCCAATGATTGTATACAAAGGTTCTTTGTAATTTGAAGAAAAATTTTGTTTTAGTTATCTGCTAAGAGGGCATGGGTTTCTTTGTACTTCTCTTCCCTACGTCCAGATTAGCTTAAGCAATAGAAGGAACTGAAAAGAGCAGAAACAGTTAAGTGTTAATTAAGAAGCACTTACAGTCTTAAGAAGTTACTCGGGGACTTAACGTAAAGTTCTATGATACATGCTATTAGGAACTTATTTTAAGGTGTACCTTATATTCAAGTGTTTTTACATTTTCTTATATTAAAAGTAGGAAGATGCATTTCCATTTACAAAAAAGCTGACCAAAAGACATAATAAAAATCATCTCATATGACCATAAACCTTTTAAAATTAGATTTAAAAGAGTAATCTGTTTTTCAGAGGTATTTTGGATACTTTGATAGAATTTCAATGGTAAATTCTGTGCTGAGTATTCAATGTTTTAAAATCTAGAAGAGAAGAATTTCAAAAGGTACAGCCTGCCTCAGATATGTGGCAGATATGTGGTTGCAAATTATCATTAGCTCAAATCATAAAACTAGAATTAGTTTTTTGGGTTTGTTGCAAAAGATTTGACCAGAGGCAGAACTTTCTTTGGAAGAACAAAGAACAGGTTTTCTGTAGCTGAGTAGGGAAGAGGAAATAGCAACATTGACTTTACTTGAGACACTGGAACTTGAATAGAGTGTAAGTGTAAAATATTAAGATGTATTTAAGAAAATAATTCTCAAGGCTTCGTTGCATAGAGAAGAGGGTAAGGGCTTGGGAATCTTAAATTAATGGTCTTTTACCATCATACTTACCGATGTGTTCCTTGATACACACAATTGTGGACTTATTTTTAAAGTTTACACACTGTTAGCATTTAATCTTAGGTCCTATATCTACAGATAGGTATGAGGCTACATATCTGCCATTGTTAGTCCCAAGAATGCTCTAAAGCAGGGCTGTCCAATGTTTTGGCTTCCCTGGGCCACTTTGGAAGAAGAATAATTGTCTTGGGCCACACAAAAATTCGCTAACACAAACAATATAGCTAATGAACTTTAAAGAAAAATAGCAAAAAAATCTCATAATATTTTTAAAAACTTTACGATTTTGTTTTGGGCTGCATTCAAAGCCATCCTGGGCCGCATGTGGCCTGCGGGTTGCACAAGCTTGCACTAAAGGTCAAATGGTATATGTATGACAGCACTTTGAATAATACACAAGACTTCACAGATACAACTCATTAAATTATTAATCAACTACCTGTTGAATGAATTAACGTATTTTGCGTTCTTGCTTTCACAGAGCATTGAAAGAGTAGTAAGGAGACAGACCTTTCTGCATTTACGAGAACCACCTACGCCGGGCGTGGTGGCTCATGCCTATAATCCCAGCACTTTGGGAGGCTGAGGCGGGTGGATCACCTGAGGTCGGGAGTTTTAGACCAGCCTGACCAACATGGAGAAACCCCGTCTCTACTAAAAATACAAAATTAGCTGGGCGTGGTGGCACATGCCTGTAATCCCAGCTACTTGGGAGGCTGAGGCAGGAGAAGTGCTTGAACCCGGGAGGCGGAGGTTGCGGTGAGCCCAGATTGTGCCATTGCACTCCAGCCTGGGCTACAGGAGCGAAATTCTGTCTAAAAAAAAAAAGAACCACCTATTATCCAAATCTGTTGGCCATTATATAAAATTATTAAATTATTAAAAGTGTACAAAATCTGATGAGTATATTTTATGTTGATAGAATATATGCCAGAAGAACACATGTGATTGGCCCAGTTTTGTTTTTATTACAAGAGTAGTTACAGGTGCAGATTAAGTGTCCCCAGTTCTCTTCCTGCTAAGTGAGTAAGTATCTAATGTTATCTTTAAGTATATTTTGAGGAACCCTGGGAAGCCTGAATACTCTTTTAGGGGGTCTGTTTGCGTGAGGCTAGATTTGATCCATATACTTGAATCAAAGGAGTATATTGCAACTAGTTGAATGTAGAGGCAGATAATTAAATCAAGGTCTCTTCTGTTAAGCTATTTTGCATTTTCAGAATTTAGAAAGAAATACACAAAAATATAAAATAGTACCACTTTTATTAAAAATAGTTATTTTAGTAAAAATAGAACTAGCATATGATCTATCAGTCCCACTATTGAATATATATCCAAGGGAAATAAATCAGAATCTCGAAGAGATATTTGCACTGCTGTTTATTGCAGCACCATACAGAATAGCCAAGATACAGAATCAACTTAGCGGCCATCAACAGGTGAATGGATAAAGAAAACTTGGTTATACACAGTGGAATACTATTCAGCCATGAGAAGGATGAGATCCTTTCTTTCATAGCAACATAGATGAGCCTGGTGGGACATTATGTTAAGTGAAATACATCAAACATTGGAAGATAAATATTGCATGTTCTCACTCACGTAGAAGCTAAAAAAATTGATCTCAATCAACGTAGAGAGTAGAATAGTGGTACTAAAGCTGGGAGGGAAAGGTAGAGAGGAGGGAATAGGGAGAGGTTGGTTAATGGATACACAATTACAACTAGATAGGAGGAATAGGTTCTGTTGTTGTATAGCACAGTAGGGTGACTGTAGTAAATAAAAATTGTATTTTGTCAAACAGCTAGAAGAGAGGATGTTGAATGTTACCAACACTCAAAGGTTTGAGGCGGTGGATACAATAATTACCCTATTTTGATCATTACACATTGTATACACATATTGAAATACCACACTATACCCCATAAATATGTACAACTATGTGCTAATTAAAAATGTTTTGCTTTTTAAATAATTTAGTTTTCATTAAAATGTTATTTGTGTTGACATATAATAGGTGCTGGTCTGTTTTGCATTATGAAAAAGTTATAATGCCTCACAAATTTGAATCACATCTGAAGATGCCAATTTGTTTTAACAGACAACCCTTAGGGTTTTATCTAGGGGACATATAAAACTGAGATATTTTGACAGGATAGCATTTTGTTTTTACTTCTCGTTATGACAGTTTGTTTTTAAGCACTCTTTTTTCAATTCTGTTTATGCTTTTTTCGTTCGTCAGGTTTGTTTAAGCATCTTAAACACGTGGCATGGAAGACCAGAAGAGAAGTGGAATCCTCAGACCTCAAGCTTTTTGCAAGTAAACAAAATTTCTCTGACATTTTCACTTAAGAAATAAAGAACTGTGTAGTATTTTAAAAAATTTTTAGTGACCAAGAATAAATATAGTAAACCTAAAAAAAGATAGATTACTAGGAAATGCATATTAAATAGCTTATAGGTGAGAAGTTAGCATAATGGAGTCTCATCTTATGTGTAATCTAAAATCTCAAGTTGGGGCATAAAACAAAAATTGAGTTTAGCCAAAACTCCCATCAAAAAAAATTCCAGGCCAGGCGCAGTGCCCACCGTTACCTGTGTTTCTTGATTTCTGTTCCTGAACAGATTATGAGAGCCTCTTACAGTTGTGCAGATGCTAACATGAAGCTGAAAAGGAGAGGGGGCACAGGTGTGTTGGCACAGCACTTTGGGAGGCTGAGATGGGTGGATCATTTGAGGTCAGGAGTTCGAGACCAGCTTGGCCAACGTGGTAAGACCCGCATCTCTACTAAAAATACAAAATACAATTAGCCGGACGAGGTGGTGCGTGCCTATAATCCCAGCTACTAGGAGGCGCCTCTGAGGTAGGAGAATCGCTGGAACCCCGGAGGAGGAGATTGCAGTGAGCCGAGATCACGGCACTACACTCTAGCCTGGGTGACAGAGGGAGACTCTATCTAAAAAATAAAAATCAATAAATAAAAACGAAAGGGACAGTAAATTTGGCCTGTGAATAAAAGTCTTTACTCTGAAAATATCAACAAATTGACTCAAATCATGAGCCTACATTATGGATTAAAAATAAATATTTATTATTACATCAATATAAATATATGTATATATATATCATATATACTGTATGTTTTTATGTTAATTACCAATTGATTTTTAACTCAGATTCTAAGAAAACACTTTAGCTTGGTATAAGTAAAATAAATACTACTTTTTGGTTTGATCCAAATAGCTTTTTAAGTGACGTTCTGTTGATCAGACAGTTCATGCTGGCTGCTTTTTTGCATGCCTCTAATATATTTATAGAAATTATTTTTAGTGTAGAATTGATTTTGTTCTATATTATAAAGTTATGTAATTCTCTCATTCATCCTGTAACACAAGTAGATCTTATGCCCCTTTTACAGATGATGAAAATATAGGTTCTAAATGTACAGATAACTTTACTGTGATCCCTATGACTTCAAATATTGTACACTGTTTCTCAGGCCTAAAGTTTTATTTTATAATACTGAAAATCAGATTTTTTTAAAAGAGGAAATCCTTCATGCCAAGGGTTTACTGTTTCTCTGCTTATTTCCGGCCTACAGTAAAATGTAGTGTGCATTAAAATGACTGTGTCCAGTTCAGACAATCCAGTGGTCCAGAAATTCCCTAAAATATGTATTATAGCTATTAAATAGCTAAGTTCACTATTGAAAAATAAAGTGGCATTTATACTCTTCCAAAAAGGTAATGTCTGCTGGGCCACCCAGTGGTAAGATAACCCATGTCATAAAGTATTTTTTGAATTTAATTGCAGGAAGTATTGATCTCTGATAATCTTTTGTTGTTATTCTTATCAAATACAAACTTTATATTTTTCTCTCAGCAGACAATAAATTATAGCCACATTTATTTCTCAGATGTAATTTTTTGTTCCTTTTTTCTGGTACACAAAACACTCATTCTTTTTTGTTTAACTTTTATGTTAGGTTCAGGGGTTCCACTGCAGGTTTGTTATATAGGTAAACTCACGTCACAAGGGTTTGCTATACAGATTATTTTGTCACTCTGGTACTAAGCGTAGTATGCAATAGTTATTTTTTTCTTTTTTCTTTTTTCTTTTTCTTTTCTTTTCTTTTTTTTTTTTTTGAGACAGGGTCTCACTCTGTGGCCCAGGCTGGGCACAACCTTGGCTTACTACAACCTCTGCGTCTCGGGTTCAAGCTGTGTTTCCACCTTAGCCTCCTGAGTAGCTGAGATCACAGACATGCACCACCACACCCGGCTAATTTTTGTATTTTTAGTAGAGACAGGGTTTCACCATGTTGACCAGGATGGCCTCGAGCCCCTGATCTCAAGTGATCTGTCTGCCTCAGCCTCCCAAAGTGTTAGGATTACAGGCGTTAGCCAACGTGCCCAGCCAGTAGTTATTTTTTTCTGATCTTTTCCCTCCTCCCACGTTTCACCATCAAATAGGCCCCAGCGTCTGCAAAATATTTTATGCTTCCTTTAGTGGGCTTTGCTTTGCTGTTTTAAACAAAATACGCCGTGAATCTAAAGTAATTTTTAAATTGTTATAACTGACTGAGATCTATAAAACCATATTGTGTCTCAAAGGAGATGAGGTTAAATAAATAAAAGAGTCCTTTTTTATAAATTTGTAATGAATATTTAATTTCTTTCTGTGCTTTTGTACAAAAATGCAATTATACCCTACTTATATTAACAGAAGAGGACAATTATTTAAGAGGGAAGAGGACAGTAACTAATAACTATGCCTTTGAAACTTACCTCAGAAGTGTCAGTAAATGTGAGATGTCTGGCCGGGCGAGGTGACTCTTGCCTGTAATTTCAGCACTTTGGGAGGCAGGCAGATCACTTGAGGCCTGGAGTTCAAGAACAGACTGGCCAATATGGAGATACCCCATCTCTACTAAAAATACAAAAATTAGCGGGATGGGGTCACGGGCACCTGTAACCCCAGCTACTTGGGAGGCTGAGGCAGAAGAATTGCTTGAACCCGGGAGGCAGAGGTTGCAGTGAGCTGAGATCGCACCACTGCACTCCAGCCTGGGCAACAGAGCAAGACACTGTCTCAAAAAAATAAATAAATAAAAATTAAAAATATGAGATCTTTATCTCAGAAATAATATGAATTAAAGTTTTTCCCATAGTTGAGCTTGGCATCAGTATGGTCACTTTCTATTTTGGGTCAAATACGTTACTTTCGAGTACTCATTTTTAAAGTTCTCTTTAACTTTGACTTATAAGATGCATATCCATGGGACTGTTTAATCGTTGTGCCCAACAAAAGTGTAATTGCTGTTCTTTTTCATTTATGAATTGCGTAGATAATATCTGATGTTTTCCTGCCTTCAAAGATGTTACTTTATTGACTTCTATAGATACATTAACTGGAAGTACTGTATTCGCTAGAAATCACCTCTCTTAATATATGTTACATCTGGGACAAGCCTTCTAGTAAATAAGTGGTGGTTTGGAAGTGGTCTTAGACCATAAGACCATCTTGTCAATCAGAATTTCTGGCCGGGTATGATGGCTCAGACCTGTAATCTCAGCACTTTGGGAGGCCAAGGTGGGCAGATCACCTGAGGTCAGAAGTTCGAGACCAGCCTGGCCAACATGGCAAAACCCCGTCTCTACTAAAAATTAAAAAAAAAAATTAGCCCTGCTTGGTGATGCACGCCTATAGTCCTAGCTACTTGAGAGGCTGAGGAAGGAGAATCACTTGGACCCAGGAGACGGAGGTTGCAATGAACCAAGATTGTACCATTGCACTGCAGCCTGGGCAACAGAGCAAGACTCCATCTCAAAGAAATAAATAAGAATTTCTAATAAGGTTTTTGTGATACTGTAGCAGTTAATTGTCCTTGGAATAAAAATTTAAAATGGTCTCAGGCATAGTTTTTTTATAAGTGAGTATTGTTAAGAGTGCATGGCTAGGCCAGGCACAGTGGCTGACGCCTGTAATCCCAGCACTTTGGGAGGCCGAGGCAGGCAGATCACCTGAAGTCAGGAGTTCAAAACCAGCCTGGCCAACATGATGAAACCCCATCTCTACTAAAAAATACAGAAATTAGTCTGGCGTGGTGGCAGGCATCTGTAATCCCAGATTCTCGGGAGGCTGAGACAGGAGAATCGCTTGAATCTGGGAGGCGGAGGTTGCAGGGAGCCAAGATCATGCCATTGCACTCCAGCCTGGGTGACAAGAGTGAAACTCAGTCTTATTAAAAAAAAAAAAAAAATAGTACATGGCTAGTTTTATGCTCCTTAAGAACAGTTTGAGCAGAATGTTGCTATGAGTTGTTTAAACTCATAAAACAACTAAAAAAAAAATAAACTAAACTAAAAAAACGAAATTTTTTTAGCATTTTTTGGAAATAGATTCTTCATATCTATTATTATTATTATCATCTATCTTCATATCTATTATTATTCAAGAATTCAAGAGTAAAAACAGATGTGTAAGTATTACTTATGGCTCTATTGTGCCTAATTTTATTTTGCCTTTATAATGAAATATTTCAATGTTATAATCATAAACATTGATTTTATTGTGATAGAAATTTGTGGAAACACATATTAAAGAAGAGTCTTTGTGGATAAAGCAGGATATCAGTTAACCCACAGTAAAAATGTCCCATCATAGCTGTTCTTTTCCTTTATTCTTTAGGTGTTGGTGTCTGTCCAGTCCCTTATATTAGTAGCTGAGCCTTATTTTAATGAACCGGGATATGAACGGTCTAGAGGCACTCCCAGTGGCACACAGAGTTCTCGAGAATATGATGGAAACATTCGACAAGCAACAGTTAAGTGGGCAATGCTAGAACAAATCAGAAACCCTTCACCATGTTTTAAAGAGGTATGTTCAATAAAATTAGTGAAATACTTTGTTAAAGACATTTTACAATATAGGCTGGGCATGGTGGCTCATGCCTGTAATCTCAGCACTTTGGGAGGTCAAGGCAGGTGGATCACTTCAGGTCAGGAGTCTGAGACCAGCCTGGCCAATATGGCGAAACCGCATTTCTACTTAAAAAAAGAAAAAGATAAATTAGCCAGGCATGGTGGCAGGCGCCTGTAATCTCAGCTACTTGGAACGTGAGGTTGAACCTGGGAGGCGGAAGTTGCAGAGAGCTGAGACTGCACCACTGCACTCCAGCCTGGGTGACAGCAGAGCAAGACTCCATCTCCAAAAAAAAAAAAAAAAAAAAAAAAAGACATTTTAAAATATAGTTTGTTAGTATTCTATTTGCCTTTATATGTATCTAGTATATGAAACTGCAGGTTTTAGAGTTAATCCCAAAGATCATTAATAAGTCTGGACAATATAGCAAGACCCCATCTCTGCAAAAAGTTTAAAAATTTAGCTGGGCATGGTGGCACCTGTAGTCTTAGATACTCAGTGGGCTAAGGCAGGAGGTTTGCCTGAGCCCACGAGTTTGAGGCTGCAGTAAGCTGTGTTCACATGACTGCACTCCAGCCTAGGTGACAGAGTCTCAGAAAAAAAAAAAATGGTAGTAGATAGTACAGATGAAGTATAAAACTATCTATATTCTAAAAGACATCTGACTAAATTTTTGAGAAGTTTTTTTCCTTTCCTTTCCTTTTCCTCTCCTCTCCCTCTGCTCTCCTTTCCTTTCCTCCTGTCCCATCCCGTTTCGTTCTCGTTGCCCAGGCTGGAGTGCAATGGCATGATCTTGGCTCACTGCAACCTCCACCTCCCAAGTTCAAGCTATTCTCCTGCCTCAGCCTCCCAAGTAGCTGGGATTACGGGCATGTGGCACCACGCCTGGCTAATTTTTTTGTATTTTTAGTAGAGACGGGGTTTCACCATGTTGGCCAGGCTGATCTTGAACTCCTGACCTCAGGTGATCCACCTGCCTTGGCCTCCCAAAGTGCTGGGATTACAAGCGTGAGCCACCGCCCCGGCCTATTCTTTATTTTTATTAGTTACCCTTCTACTAGCAAACTCTCTAAATATGTTTCTGATATATTTCTCATTGAACTGTTTTTTATTGAAGATGGTTTCTAAAGTTGTCTTGCAAATAGAAATTTTGCCCTTATTCTAATGTGTATATATAAGGAGAATGCCATTTCTTTTTTTTATTTTTTTGAGATAGGACTTGGCTCTGTTGCCTGTGCTGGAATACAGTGGCGGAATCTCGGCTTACTGCACCCTCCGCCTCCCCGGTTCAAGTGATTCTCATGCCTCAGCCTCCCGAGTAGCTGGGACTGTGTGCGCATACCACCGCAACTGGCTAATTTTTTTTGTATTTTTTAGTAGAGGCCAGTTTTCACCATGTTGGCCAGGCTGGTCTCGAATGCCTGACCTCAGGTGATCCGCCCGCCTCGGCCTTCCAGACTGTTGGAATTACAGGCGTGAGCCACTGCGCCTGGCCACGTTTCCTTTTCTTTAGGAAAAAAATTGGATGATATGAGTTTCCAAAACCTGTATTAATACACTGAAGTGGTTTTTTTCACGTCATCCTGAAGTGTGGCTCTGTGTGTGTGTGTGTGTGTGTGTGTGTAGCTTTTTGCCTGTGATTAGTTGTCTCTCCATAGTATACCTAAATAGAATTATACTTTTCACCTGCCATATCAAATGACGTTAGCATCACAACTTGCTGTGATTGTGTCCAGAAACATTTTTCTTTCTTAAAATTGTTTCACTTGATCATTAATTTCTTAAATTGTGCTGGAAAGTTAACATTTTAGAGGAAAAAATGGTATATTTACCTGATATAAAATTGATCTTTAATATAACTATGCAGATGTTCTACATGAATACTATGAAGCCACCTCCTTCATCAGATAGCACTGATGAATATTTCTTTTTCTTTGGCTTTTGCTGTTACTGAGTAAATTTATATTCCAGTGTCCTTTGAATGACAAAGTTGGATACTTTACTTTTGCAAAGATCGCGCCACGGCACTCCAGCCTGGGCAGCACGGTGAGACTCTGTCTCAAAAAAAAAAAAAAAAAAGTAATTTGTTTTATGCATATCATTTTTTTCAGGAAGGATAAACACAGGGAACTCAGAGAAGGGGATGACTTTTACAAAAAGCAAATATGTATAATTTGAGACAATCAACTTTCTCATTCTTTAGAACCTAGCTTGCGTTAAAGGGGCCACTCCTTGGCCATGTATGCTTTCCCAGTTTTCCTAATCAAATGCCACTCGCTACTCTTTGAATGCCCTGGGCTTTTTGCTTTTGTTTATTGTTGTTCTTTAAAATATATTTTTTTGGTACACTCCCGTCCCATCTGATTCTGTTGTTACCACTGTTCTTCATTTAAAGCTGTGTCATACTTACTTCTGTATCCCAGAGGCTTCAAACCCAATAACTATTAAATGTGGTGGGATCGTATTGGTGTTTGACATTCATTCCCAGAGCTTTCTAGTGATTTTCCCTTTATAGGTTTGATTGTCTGTTCTTTAGGGCAGACATGCTCCCTGGGCAATGCTCAACCAGAATACAGAGCAATGTTTCCAAATTGATAATTGTTTTCTAATTTAAATTTGTCAGAAATAGACTCTTACTACTATATGTTGGTAGAAATTTTACTCAGTTTTTCAAAGATAGAATTGAAAGATAGAATTTAAAAATCGCAAATGTAAATCACAGTAATAATAAGGAAATTTAACTTCCTAAAATAAAATCCCATCTATAAATTAAACAGAAGATAAAATTAAGCAAGTAAGAATAGTGCCATTTCTGGGGATTTCTGTGTGAATGCCTTTGGCATTTAGAATATACTTATCTAGGTGTTCTTTGAGTTATCTTTTAAAGGCAGAAATTTCTCTGTTGTCAATACTTTTTAAATCTTTTCGCCTGGTTACTTATTTAGCATTTGCCTTCTGAGTATATTGTATCATATGTGTCTTGTGGTCTCTGGACAGGATTAATTTTCCAAGTGTCTGACCACAATTGTACACTCTTTTCTGCTATAAATTTGTTTTCTCTTTTCTCTCCTCCCCTCCTCTCTTCTTTTCTTTTCTTTTTGATGGAGTCTTGCTCTGTCGCCCAGGCTGGAGTGCAGTGGCGGGATCTCAGTTCACTGCAACCTCTGCCTCCTGGGTTCAAGCAATTGTCCTGCCTCAGCCTCCCAAGTAGCTGGCACTACAGGTGCCTGCCACCATGCCTGGCTAATTTTTGTATTTTTAGTTCTGACCTTGTGATTCGCCTGCCTTGATCTCCCAGAATGCTGGGATTACAGGCGTGAGCCACCACACCGGGCCATAAATTTCATATATTTCAACACGTCATATCAAATCATGAGCTTGATTTTTCCCTGCTAATATTGTAGAGTTGATTAAATTGCCTTTTTTTTTTTGTTTGAGATGGAGGCTTGCTCTGTCGCCCAGGCTGGAGTGCAGTGGCGCGACCTTGGCTCACTGCAAGCTCCACCTCCCGGGTTCACGCCATTCTCTTGCCTCAGCCTCCCAAATTGAGTTTTATGGATAGAAAAACATTGCAGTGTCTGTATATTTATTTCATTAAATGTATTTATAATAATATTCTAAATATTAATTTAAATGTATTTATAGAATAAATTATTTAAATGTATTTATAATACATTTTACTTCTTTGTAATGTCATTTACTGTGTCTTTTAAATTTGACTGTAAACACTGCTTGTTCTCCTGTTTACTTTTTCTCAAGGTAATACACAAACATTTTTACTTGAAAAGAGTTGAGATAATGGCCCAATGTGAGGAGTGGATTGCGGATATCCAGCAGTACAGCAGTGATAAGCGGGTAGGCAGGACTATGTCTCACCATGCAGCAGCTCTCAAGGTGAGTAAGCCTCTCTAACAGGAGCCTTGTTGCTTTAAGAGTTGTGTAATTATTGACAGAACCATGCCTACCAGAAGATAATGGGAGGGAGGGAATTAAAGAAACATAATATGTATTTTCAGTTCAGAGGAATAAATTGTTACTCAGAAGTCTATAGAAAAGATACATTTTTTTTTGGTAGTAGATTGACAGTTCCTAAAATAAAAAGTGGGTCCAAGGACTGAGACAACAGAGTTTTGTAAAGTTCCTTGAAGATAATGATGACAAGATGTGCTCCATGAATGCCTTTTCCTTTTTCTTTTTTTCTTTTGAGACTGGATTTCATTCTGTTGTCCCAGCCTAGAGTGCAGTGGTGGCATCATGACTCTCTGTAACCTTGAACTCCTGGGCTCAAGCAGTCCTCCCACCTCAGCTTCCCATGTAGCTAGGACTACAGGTAGCTGCCACAGTGCCCAGTTAAATTTTTTTATTTTCAATTTTGTAGAGATGGGGTCTCACCCTGTTTCCTAGGCTAGGCTCAAGTGATCCTCCCACCTCAGCCACCCAAATCACTGGAATTATAGGCATGAGCAACCGTGCCAGACTTGAAGGACTTCTTTTATTCCCTTAGTCTTTCCCTAGGCCTCCTGCCTTCCAGAATTTTATTACTTGGAGTGATGAGGGAGATTTGAGTTGCAGATTCTCCCTCAGCTGATGGTGGCAGTGGCTGTGTTAGGGGAGAAAGCAGTTGTTTTCAGTTTGGACGTTCATAGAATGGAAATGTGAAATGTGATTGGTTTGGAAGATTTTCTGTCTACCCACGGAGATCTTTCTTTGTAACAGCCTTCCTTTTTTCCTGCATCTGAATGTCTTTACTCATTTCATCCTCCACCAATATCCTCCCTTTTCTATCTTCAGGTTTTTCCATTTCTACTGGCTTGTTATCTTCTAACTTTAAAGCTGTCTTCACTTCAAACAACTAGTTGATGATAAGGATTTGTTAGTTTTTTAGGTGTGATTTTTAAAAAGATCCCTATCTTTTCAGGACATGTACAGAAATATTTGTGAATGACAAAGTGTATGATGTCTGGGAATTACTTCAAAATAAAATGACAAGGGGAAAGTGTGGGAATATAGATGAAAGAAGATGGGCCATGAGTTGATAATGGTTGAAGCTGTGTGATAGATTCATGGGACTTCATTGTACTCTTCTGCCCACTTCTGCATATGTTTGAATTTTTTCACTATAAAAATGTTTTGAAAAAGAGAGAAAAACACTTGCAGAAAATTTCCCTAAGCTAGTTCTATTTTGCCCCTATTATTATGAAACAGATTGTCTTCTTTCACCGTCAGACTATAGCAGTTGACACTTCTTGCCTCCATTTTTTAACCTTTGTCTCACTAATCAACCTTATGCAGTTTGACTTCTATTTTACCAAAGTTACCATCTCTCCAGTTCTCAACGCCAGTGACCCTGGCTCACTTCTCCATTCACTTCATCTGCTCTCCCTCCTCCAGGCCTTTACACATGGTTTCCATTTTCCTCTACTTTTCAGCTCTTCTGCTTGCTCACCTCCATTCATATTTCAGCTTAAATTTCACTTCATGGAACCCTGCCTTGACTGGTTTGTTTGTTTGTTTGTTTGTTTGTTTCTGAGACACTGTCTCTCTCTGCCACTCAGGCATGATCTTGGCTCACTGCATCTTCCGCCTCCCTTGTTCAAGTGATTTATCTGCCTCAGCCTCCTGAGTAGCTGGGATTACAGGCATCTGCCACCAGACCTGGCTAACTTTTGTATTTTTATTTTCATTATTTATTTTATTTATTTATTTATTTTAGATGTAATCTTGCTCTGTTGCTCAGCCTGGAGTGCAGTGGCTTGATCTCAGCTCACTGCAGCCTTAACCTCCTGGGTTCAAGCTATTCTCCTGCCTCAGCCTCCTGAGTATCTGGGATTACAGTCACCTGCCATCATGCCCAGCTAATTTTTGCATTTTTAGTAGAGACGGGGTTTCACCATGTTGGCCAGGCTGGTCTCGAACTCCAGGCTGGTCTTGAACTCCTGACCTCAAGTGAGCCACCGCGCCCCGCCTGACTGATAGACTATTAGATCATTTCAGTATAAGCATTTCTAACCCTCTGCGTCTACCTGTTAAAACACTCATAACATTTGTCTAATGTTTGTCTTTTGTACTATACTTTTCATCTGTAGACTATCTTGGCTTTTCTGCTTATACTCTTCTTAATTCTTTCAGTGTGTTTTCCTTTTTCTTTTTTCCTGAGCAATTGTTTACCTGAAGGCTTACTTTTTGGCCTTCAGAACTATTTTTTTTCTGTCTTTCTGTTTTTCCTTCATTGTGTCTGTAACCCTGACTTTGGCCATTTACTCTCTAAAAGTGACACTTCAAACTGTTGTCAGCTGTTAGCTTTCTCTTGAGTTGTATTACTGACATTTTTTACATAGATACCCTGTCATCATCTCCTTAAAGGAGATTTTCCTCAAATCAAGTTTTCTAGCTTTCTATTTACTTAATTTTACTTGATTTTAAACCATTTTTCTCTGTCTTAGAATCTTCAAGTATTATGTATCTCATCCTTCATCCAGCACCCCTGGTCAGTACTAGGTCCTGTCAGTATTACTTCATGAGGGGACTGTCCTCTCCCCAACCCATGATTTCTGTTGAGTTCCCACAGCTTTGTCTGTTTGTCCAGCTTCCTTGTACCAGGTTCTCCCCCTTTCAGTTCCTTCTTTAGTGCATTACCAGGCTGATCTTCCCCAAATATGTATTTAGATATGTTTTTCACTTACACAAAACTGGCTCAAGTCCAGCTTCTTTTCATTCAGTGTCTTGCTTATATCCGCATTCCTTTATTTCTTCTGTGTCACTGTCACCTGGAATTTTCCATCTCTGAATTAATCCAAATTTATATCATTTTAACTGTACATTTGCTGTTGAGTGCTACACAAGAAAAATACACAATTGGCCAGGCGCAGTGACTCACGCCTATAATCCCAACACTTTGGGAGGCCAAGGCGGGCAGATCACTTGTGGTCAGGAGTTCAAGACCAGCCTGGCCAACATGGTGAAACCCCAACTCTATTAAAAGAAAATACAAAAATTAGTCAAGTGTGGTGGCTCATGCCTGTAGTCCCAGCTGCTGGGGAGGCTGAGGCAGGAAAATCGCCTGAACCCGGGAGGTGGAGGTTGCAGTGAGCTGAGATTGCGCCATTGCTCTCCAGCCTGGGCAACGAGTGTAAAATTCTGTCTTAAAAAATAAATGAAAAGTATGTAGTTGTTTAGCTTGACTCCACAATAAAATCATAGTATCCCTGTATTAGGCTGTTCTTTCTTTGCTATAAAGAAATCCTTGAGACTGGGTAATTTATAACAAAAAGACATTCAATGGGCCCATGGTTCTGTAGGCTGTACAGGAAGCATGGAACTGGCATTTACTCTGCTTCTGTAGAGGCCTCAAGGACCTTATACTCATGGTGGAAGATGAAGCGGAATCACGAAGGCGTAGGGGTGTGGGAGGTGCCACACTTTACAACAACCCGATCTCGTGATAATTCACTCACTATCTCAGGACAGCACCAATCCATGAGGAAACTGTCCCCATGATCCCCATTTCTCTCACCTCCAACACAGGGATTACATTTCAACATGAGATTTGGGCAGGGACAAATATCCAAACTAGATCAATCCCCAACCTTAACTCAGTTCTCATGATTGCCAGATTTTTCTTTCTCCTTCCCTGGTTAGTGATTTCACCTGTTGTCCACAGTGGAAGGAAAATCAAGGCTAGGGAAATTCTCACTTACCGGCATGTAAATGTGCTTTGAAACTTTGCAAATAGCTGCAAGGTAGAGTTGTTTTTTCCTATTTATGTGTCTTATAATTTCAGCCAGAATTTTAGACTCCATAAGCTTAAAGATTTTATCCTCATTCTACTCATTGCCTTTATGTTGTTGGTATTTAACACAGTGCCTCATACATAAAAATTGTTCTGTAAATAAATGTTGTTTAATTTTCAAAGTCAGCTGTTGACACTATTTAGTTTTTATTTATTTTATTTTATTTTATTTTTGAGATGGAGTCTCGCTCTGCTGCCAGGCTGGAGTGCAGTGCTGTGCGATCTCAGCTCACTGGAACCTCTGCCTCCCTGGTTCAAGCGATGCTCCTGCCTCAGCCTCCCAAGTACCTGGGACTACAGGCACACACCACCACACCCAGCTAATTTTTGTATTTTTTGTAGAGACGGGGTTTCACCATGTTGGCCAGGATGGTCTCGATCTTTTGACCTCGTGATCTGCCCGCCATGGCCTCCGAAAGTGCTGGGATTACAGGCGTGAGGCATCAGACCCGGCCGACACAATTTTAAAAGCCTTTGGTGTGATTATTTAAGGTCATTTCTCTCTCACCAGAAAATTATGAACCAAATCTTTGCATGTGTTAGACAACCAGCCACTCCCAATTAACATGCCTATATCCTTACGTAAACTGCAATATAGAGCAAAGCAAAGTTTATTTAATCTCTATAGATCTTCTTTTTAACTCAATTTTGTAAAAAGTTCTAATGATAGGCTGGGTGCAGTTCTTTGTTCTTCTATGATCTTTTTAACTTAATTTTTTAAAATTCTATGATCTTCTTTTTAACTTAATTTTTTAAAAAGTTCTAATGATAGGCTGGGTGCAGTTCTATAGGCTGGGTGAATCTGGGTACAGATTCACACCTGTAATCCCAGCACTTTGGGAGTCCAAGGCAGGTGGATTGCTTGAGATTAGGAGTTCGAGACCAGCCTGGCCAAGAAGGCAAAACCCCGTCTCTACCAAAAACACAAAAAAATTAACTGGGCATGGTGGTGCATGCCTGTAATAGCAGTTGCTCGGGAGGCTGAGGCATGAGAATTGCTTGCGTCTGGGAGGTGGAGTTTGCAGTGAGCCGAGATTGTGCCTCTGCACTCTAGCCTGGGTGACACAGTGAGACCTTGTTCTCAAAAAAAAAAAAAAAAAAAAAAAAATTCTAATGATACAATTATTTCTAAGGTTTATTCTGAGCATTAAGTGGGAAAATTAGTGTGAACATTTGCAGACATTTTACATATGGCCTACTACCTGATAAATATTTTTTTCATTCGCTAAAGTATCAGTGGATTTATTTTAATTTACGGATTTGTCTTTCTCTCAAAAACGTTTAGCCAGAGTCAGCATGTATGACAAATCAAGGGATTACGGTGTTTAATTTGAAAGAGTGTATAGGCTGGGCACAGTGGCTCACACCTGCAATCCCAGCTCTTTGGGAGGCCAAGGCAGGTGGATCGCTTGGACCAGGAGTTTGAGACCAGCTTGGGCAAAATGGCGAAACCCCATCTGTGTAAAAAATTAGCTAGGCATGGTGCTTCATTCCTGTAGTCCCAACTACTTGGGAGGCTGAGGTGGGAGGATTGCTTAAGCCCAGGAGGTTGAGGCTGCATGAGCTGTGATTGTGCCGCTGCTCTCCAGCCTGGATGACAAAGCAGAGCTATCTTAAAACAAAATAAGAGAATATATGTATGTAGGCCGGGTGCATTGGCTCACGCCTGTAATCCCAGCACTTTGGGAGGCCGAGGCAGGTGGATGACAGTCAAGAGATCAAGACCAGCCTGGCCAACATAGTGAAACCCCATCTCTACTAAAAATACAAAAAATTAGCTGGTTGTGGTGGCGCCCACCTGTACTCCCAGCTACTCAGAAGGCTGAGGCAGAAGAATCACTTGAACCCGGGAGGCGGAGGTTGCAATGAGCTGAGATCGCGCCAGTGCACTCCAGCCTGGGCAACAGAGCGAGACTCCGTCTCAAAAAAAAAAGAGTATATGTATCTAATAATGTCCTTTAAATTGTCAGTAATGCTGTTTCTGTGACAGCTTGGCAGCATGGGTAGGATCTACTGGTGGGTTACTGAGGTCTTTTCAGCAACATCGGTTACTTTGAGGTTAAGGATTCTTGTCAGTTTTGCTTACCTACTATATCAAGTGCCTGTAACAGTAGCTTGCATAAGGAGGGGCTCAGTAAATATTTGTAGGCTTAATGCTTTGGGCTTTGTTGAAATTCAGTTCCTGCCTCAAATGATGTTGTGCTAGAGGGTTTGCAGTTCTAACATTAGTCCTTTTCTCCTGCATAGCGTCACACTGCTCAGCTCCGCGAAGAGTTGCTGAAACTTCCCTGCCCTGAAGGCTTGGATCCTGACACTGACGATGCCCCAGAGGTGTGCAGAGCCACAACAGGTGCTGAGGAGACTCTAATGCATGATCAGGTTAAACCCAGCAGCAGCAAAGAACTCCCCAGTGACTTCCAGTTATGAGCTGCATTGATGTGGACTTCATAGACACAAAGGCTTCGAAGCACAAGCCAAATATGTCAATATTTGTATGTAAGAAACTAATTATGTAATAGGTAATGAAACTGAAACTATACTATGCCCTTAAGGAGATCCAGTTTAATTCAAGGTGATCTTTTATTTACCTGTACAGGAGTGTAAACTTTTTTGTGCTTTTATTTTTCAATTGTGAGAACCACTGATTGGTATGTTCAACAAATTTGTGTATACAAAGAAATGGATAAATCACTGCTATATAAGGGAAACTACCTTAGGAAAGAATGTTTACTGAATGTTTATTTTATTTTATTTTTTTTTTACTATAGAGTGAGGGGTTGTTAACAAAGAATATATATTGGTCATTCTTACAACTACTATTTAAAGTCAGCAACTTTTCACTGAATTTGATAGATTTTATGTTTGGCCATATCTTCATGCTCACATTTGATTTCTGAAGACCTCCTACATACACTTCAATAAAAGTTAAATGGACATACTCCCTCTTTTTTGATTTACTGGTACATTTTTAAAATAATAAATCTGCCATAAAATGCATTATATCTGGAGACTTGCACTTGTATGGATGAATTTATTACATTCAACATATTTAATTTTATGCCTTCTAATTCTAAGATGCAGAAAAAAATAAATGAACATGATTTTATTCTATGCCAACATTTGGGCCTCTGAATGTATCTGTTATTTGAATTTAAGTATTTGAAAAGGAATGGTCAATTTGAAAGTCATTCTAAACTGATTTTTTTTTTCTAAAGGGCTCCTTTTTTCCTGGACTATGTGGTTTTATGACTAAAGTCACATGTATGTATTAAACATTGAGGCTCTGTAGAGGAGAGAGGATGTACCTCTCTGGTGCTGTTACAGTACATTCTGTACCTGCCATACAGGCTCATTTTCATGCAAATTCTTCCTAGAGCCAAATAAATAAAGACTTAGGTGAATTAGTATGTCTTGTTTCTAAACCCCTTTGCCATGGTGTGAAATGCTATTTCTATAAAGAATTGAACACTTTCAAGACTTAAGCATGGGAAAACAAAGCATGTTTTTCCAAGACCAGTTGCCGCAGGGGAAAGGCTAAGGTGATTCTTTGACAGTATTTTTATAAAATAAAAGTGGCGGCTGTGCGCGGTGGCTCACGCCTGTAATCCCAGCACTTTGGGAGGCCAAGGCAGGCGGGTCTCCTGATGTCAGGAGTTCGAGACAAGCCTGGCCAATGCGATGAAATCATGTCTCTATAAAAATACAAAAATTAGCCAGGCATGGTGGTAGGTGCCTGTAATCCCAGCTACTCAGGAGGCTGAGGCAGGAACTGGAGCTGACGCCTGAATCTGGAGCTGACCAGGAGAAGCCGTATTCTGAAAGGCGAGTTGCTCTCTGATGAAAAAGGGGATCTTGGGGAAATGATACTCTCTTATGTACAAAGTATAAAGCTCCTTCAGCATGGAAAAAGGAGAAACGAATAGTATTTGGACAGGAAATCAAAGATTCTAAAACACATAGTGTTAGGTCTGGTGGGTAGTGAGCTACACCGAAAATGACAAAATAGTGGTAGTTTACAAGAAGAAAAAAATTATGTCACCCACAGACATGCCAGCTAAAATCTAAGTATAAAATTATCAGCAATAATAAAGGACAGTCATTAATCCTTTAGGCTATTTTTTGTTGTTTTTGTTTGTTTTTGGACTGTGAGTGCTGGATGATAAAAGCTGTATCAAATGTATTGTTTGTCTTCCATGTAAAATGAAAGTAACAATACCAGTACTATAAGGTCCAGTTCATATTTTTTAAAAACCAAAGTCTAAACACCTAAATTGGAACCAATTACATTAAAACATTCCATTTGAGATCCAGACTTTATGTCAACAAACATTTGAGCACTCATTTTTTACTAGTTCCAAGTTCCTGCACTTGAGGAGTGAATGACAGACATGAAAACATGTCAGTGCCATCTGGTAAGGTCTCTGGTAGAGTTATTTACAGGGTAATATTGGGAGCACAGAGGAGAATCCTTATCTCAGGCAAAACGTTGGGTGGGCACTGAGGTGATAATGGTCTGGAAAAGCTTTCTAAGTGCAGACTAATTCTTGAAGGATGAGGATAAAGAAGTTAGCCAGGCAGAAACAAGATAATCCAGACACAGGAGAGCAAAAGGAGAGCTCAGGTTGATGGCACCATATTGGATGTTACTGGATTTTTAACAGGCAAAGTGAGGATAGTCAAAAGGGATGGGAGGCAGTGGTTTTGGAAAGAGAGGAGGGGTCAGTTCATCCCAGGCCTTTGCTTGCCCTGTTAAGGAACTTTGACTTCCTGTAGGTAAAGGAGAGCTCACAAGTAGCTCTAAGGAAGTAACCTGATTAGTCTATTTCAGGAAGATCATTCTGCAACCTGTTGAGAAGCGAGGAGATCAGTTAAAAGCCTGCTCACATCCAAGCAATAGGTCATAAACTAGGGCACATAAACTGTGGAGATTAAGAGACAATTGACAGGACTTTGGGAAATACATATATTTGTTAGGAGAATAACTTTAGCATGTTTTCAGGCTAGGGAGCCAGGGGAGAAGTCCTTGGGGAAGGATGGAGCAAAGCCTAACAGACATAAATGACCTGGGTCCAAGAGCACATGCGGAGAACTTGAAGAGATGTGAAAATCAGTAAAGTGAATTGGTCTATTTGTGAAACTTTTAACTATATAAAGTTTTTATCTTAATGAACAGTAAAAAAACAAAAAGTAAAACTGCTTAAATACTTTCCTAGCATTAAGACAAAAATCTCCAAAGTCAGACAAATGTAAAATGTACTGTAGGCTGGGCATGATGGCCCACACCTGTAATCCCAGCACTTTGGGAGGCTGAGGCGGAATGATTGCTTGAACTCAGGAGTTTGAGACCAGCCTGGGCAACATGGCAAAACCCCGTCTCTACAAAAAATAGCAAAATTAGCTGGGCATGGTGGCACATGCCTGTGGTCCCAGCTACTCGGGAGGCTGAGGTGGGAGGATTGCTTGAGCCCAGGACATGGAGGCTGTAGTGAGCCTAGATCACGTGACTGCACTCCACTGTGGGCAACAGCAAGACCGTGTCTTAAAAAGAAAATTAATGGATGTTTTTAACCCATCTCTTACTGTTGGACAGTTTGGAATTGCTTTTGTCTCTGCTTTTCTGATTATAACTAATGCTGTGATGAGCATGGTCTTATCTTTATTTTCTTATGATAAATCCTAGAAGTAGAATTCCTAGGTCAAAGGTTTTGATATATAATGACCGCTTTCCTGAGAGGTACTGATTCACACTTGGAAAATCTTTTAGTGTTGTCATGCGTTGGCCAGCATTGGAGATTATATAATTTTTTGATCTGATATTTTATTATCATCAAACATGTTTTAATGTGCATTGAACATTGTTTATATTACCCATTTGAATTTCTACTTTTGTCAGTTACCAGTTTATACCTTTTCCCTATTTTGTGTATTTTCTTAGAGTCTTTTAGTATGTATCAGCTACTTATAGTAGAATATTAGTTTTTGTCAAACTTCTGTGTATTTGTCCAGATGGCCTTTTAATTTTTGTTTAATTTTTCTCATAGAAGTTTTAAATTGTGGGGCCGGCCGGGTGCAATGGCTCACTCCTGTAATCCCAGCACTTTGGGAGGCTGAGGTGGGTGGATCATGAGGTCAAGAGATCGATACCATCCTGGCCAACATGGTGAAACCCCATCTCTACTAAAAACACAAAAATTAGCTGGGCGTGGTGGCAGGCGCCTGTAGTCCCAGCTACTTGGGAGGCTGAGGCAGGAGATTTGCTTGAACCCAGGAGGCAGAGGTTGCAGTGAGCCCAGATCGCACCACTGCACTCCAGCCTGGTGACAGAGCGAGACTCCGTCTCAAAAAAAAAAAATTTAAATCGTGAAGTCATCTATTGATCTGTTCCTTTCTGATTTTAATTGCATTTTATTCCTTTGAAGTTATTCCCTATGCAAAGGCAAAAAAAAGGCTATATATTTTCTAACTGAGATTGATTTTTGGTATTGTTACAGGCTTCGCTGCAACTGAATTGCAACAGGCTTGAGCTGCTTCCCATCTCGCACCCTGCAGAGGCAGGTATGGTGGTGACAAGCCAGAGTCCACATGTGGATGGAAGATACAAGCCATGTTGAAAGGAAGCTCCATCCTGCTTTCTCTTTCCTCTTCAAACTCTGCCCAGTTTCTAGCAGCCATCCAAGCCTCCTTTCTCTCAGCTTCTAGCCTCCTGATGCTTCAAGCTCTAAAGGGGCTGACGTGAACCCTGTGAGCCTATACATTTCCTGTATAGAAGAGGCATTCTCTGGCCTTCTTTCTCCCTTAGTTCCTGGATGTGATCTCGTAGTGCTCCCATGAGCTCCACCAAAAGTCTGCTTTCCATTGCTTCCTTCATGTGTGTCCCTCTTCAGGTTGCACTAGCTGTTTTCCTGTGCAGGAAGAGACTGCAGCCCACCACCATTTTAATTGTTTTCAGTTTTATTCACGTCTCACTTCTCCAGGGAGGGAATACCCAGTCCAATTATGTCAGCTGCAGGCTGCCCTGGGCCGCTGGGAGACCTACGGCCTCAGGTTAGACACTTCTGCCTGCTGGGGTCCCCAGGATACTGCCCCTCCCCACCTCCCTGTACTCCTCTGGGTCAAAAGGTAGACAGGCATTTCCCTCGTTCTTATTCCTACCACTTCTGTTCCTTGCTGTTGCTTTCCCCCAGCCTTTCTATAGGTTTTGTTCTTTGGTTTATTCCTTCCCTTTTTCACCTTGCTGTCTGCAAAGTCAGCAAATGCAGCCATAGAGTGCCTTCCAGCTCTGGAGCTTTTCTCATCTTTAGAGGAACCAGCTAGAGCTCCTCTGTGCCGCCTTTCTGGGAGCTGCTATTTTTGTTATTGCCCTTCTTGCCAGATAAGTATGAGATTTCCCAAGCCTGGCCAATTTTCAAATATTTGTCCTGTTGGGTTTTTTTTTTTCTTCTCTTTTTATAAGACTTTGTCAGAATTTTTTGATATAAATTCACAAATGAGAAAAAATATTTTTTCAAGCCCAAATCACTCATATGTTAGTTTTGGTTTAAAAAAAAAAAAAATCTTCCCCCTGGTTGTCTCCATACCCCAAAGGTAGCAGTTACTTCCTGAAGCAAGGCAAATACTTCCTTTGACCCAAAGGGCAAAGTTAATCTCCCAAAGGAGTTTAGCAAGGGAGAGCTTAGAAAGGCCTGAAGCTCACCTACCCTTAGGTGTCATTTGTAAATGCCTCTTTACCAAGGAAAGATAGTGCCTTAACTTGTTCTGAGCACTTGTACCTGCTCTGCAATGTGCTGGATTCTTGGGATAAAATGTCATGTAAGAGTCTGACCCTACCCCCAGGAAGCTGTCAGTCTAATGAAATAAATAAATAATATTCATCATTTCAATTGTATTTTGGGAGTCTTCCAGTTATCACCAATTTCAGTCTCTGAGCCGAAGCGATCACCTTAGATTGTGAGCCAAGGAAGGACAGATCCCTGAGAAGACTTCATGCAGCTCTAGGAAAAGCCTATACTCTTCAATCATCTGGCTTCTGATTTCGCAATGAGAAAACTATACCCTCGTCTGCCTCAAACGAGGAACCCCTAATACTTAGCTAAGAATTGCTAACATTTTTTGGTATCTATGTCCTAGACCCTATGTTTAGTACTTGATAACTTAATCTCTATCAGTTGGTCTCAATTTGCCAACTGCTAGGGAAAAAGCATCACACTATGGAGATACGGAAGCATACCAACTACCCCTCCCTTCAATCAGCCTGCCCTTGCTTCTAGCAGGTGACCCCCACCTCACCCCATCTTCTATTTTTCTTTTCTTTCTTTCTTTTTTTTTTTTTGACAGTCTTGCTCTGTTGCCCAGGCTGGAGTGCAGTGGTGGGATCTCGGCTCACTGCAAGCTCCACCTCCCGGGTTCACGCCATTCTTCTGCCTCAGCCTCCCAAGTAGCTGGGACTACAGGCACCCACCACCACGCCTGGCTACTTTTTTGTATTTTTAATAGAGGTGGGGTTTCACCATGTTAACCAGGATGGTCTCCATCTCCTGACCTCGTGATCCGCCCGTCCCGGCCACCTGAAGTGCTAGGATTACAGGTGTGAGCCACCGCGCCCAGTCCTCAGTATACTCAAACAATAGTTCCCCTCTTCTGTTAGTATCTGTTAGCACCTATGAGACTTAAGATGTAAAACTTTTTTTTTTCTGAGACAGAGCCTCGGCTCTGTCGCCCAGGCTGGAGTGCAGTGGCATGATTTCAGCTCACTGCAACCCCTGCCTCCCGGCTTCAAGCGATTCTCATGCCTGAGCCTCCCTCCCGAGTAGCTGGGATTATAGGTGTGCACCACCACACCCAGCTGGGTCTTGCTTTGTCGCCCATGCTGGAGTGCAGTGGTGCAATCTCGGCTCATTGCAACCTCCACCTCCCGGGTTCAAGCAATCCTCCCACCTCAGCCTCCCTAGTAGCTGGGATTACAGGCGTGTGTCATCACGTGCAGCTAATTTTTTTATTAGAGACGGCGTTTCACCATCTTGGCCAGGCTGGTCTCAAACTTCTGACCTCAGGTGATCCGCCCGCCTTGGCCTCACAAAGTGCTGGGATTACAGAAGTGAGCCACCACACCCAGCCATGTGTTTGAACTAATTCTGTCTCCTATCTTTTTAAGTGGTGAAAGGGAGGCTGGATTTGTCATTAGCTCAAGCATAAGGAAGTCAGGATTGCGAATAGCATTTCATGACCCTTCCATCTCCTTTCATATTCATTAACAGAGCTCACATTTAATAATAATTTTTAACAGTGTTTGCAAATGTTTGTGGCAGCTTTATTTGAAGTAGCCAAAAACCGGAAACAACTTCAACATCCCTCCACAGATGAATAAATAAACATTGTGATGTATTCATACAATACATACTCTTCAGTTATATTTTTTAAATGAACATTGATACGTACTATATAAGAATATCAAAATAATTATGCTAAGTGAAAGAAGCCAGAAAAAAAGTATATACTGTATGATTCCATTATATAAATCTAGAAAATGCAAACTCATCAATAGTGACAGCAGATCAGTGGTTGCTTGGAGTGTAGAGGATGGGGATGGCAAGAGGGCCGGATTATAAAGAGGAACAAGGAAACTTTGAGGAGTGATGGATGTGTTCACCGTCTTGATTGTGGTGATGGTTCATGGGTACATACCTAAATTAAAACCTAACAAATTGTACAGTTAAAATATGTGCACTTTATGCCAATTATACCTGAATAATGCTTTTTATAAAATTGTTGTATGAAGCTTAAAATCTGGTCTCCCAAGACCAATATTCTCCAGAAGGCTTCTCCTGACATAACAATTCTTCCTTCTTCTGACACCGTTGGTCCCCTGCTCTTTCCAAACCCTGTGTGCCTCGGAACAATGGCCCTGCAACCACCGCTTTCCTTCAGAGAGTGAGCCAGTCCTTGCCCTGTGCTTCCTTCTAGTCAGTGCAACCAAACTCTGATCTGGTCCTCCTTGACCCCTCTGATGCTCCCATGGCACCATTATTTTCTCCAATCTCCTAGCCTCTTGTAATACTTGTTGAATTTACATCTCCAGCCATCCTCCTTCCTATTTTTTCTCCTTTTGGAAGAAACGATGCAAAACCTTGTTTCCTTGTCACACAGTATTTCAAAATAGAGGTGTTATAATTGTATTTATTTTTTACTGTAGACCAAACATTACTATAAACATTTAGCTAGAATCACTAGTTTAGAGAAGATGAGATTTTGTAATAGGTTGGGAACTACTTGACATAAGAGACGAGAAAGGAAACAACATGGATTAGAGGCATAAAATAAGCCAAGGATAGTCCTAAATTCTGTTAAAAGTATCTCTCACTTACCTCATTCTTAGTCTTGAATATGGAGACTTCTGGCTTTCTATCTCCACTGGGCCCTGGAACTGTGGCAGCCAGAGCCTCACCTTCCAGGTAGGAGATTTAAAGAGTCTTTTGGAGAAATCTGACCAGCCCAAGAAAAAAAGACTTTTAGATAGTGACATACAGGATCCCAATAGACTCGTCAGCCAAGGCATTCTATACTGAATCCTACAGTAGATATTTCATTGCCTGCTCAATTTCCACTCACTATGTACATATTTTTAATCGAGACCATATTCCCCACCTACTTTATTACTGGAATTCACTTTGCTTGAAGGGAGATTAGGCAGACTTCAGTCACCATCATCATCTAGCATACCACATTTAAAACAAACCAACCTTGAATTTAACTGAAAGTTGCAAGTTTACTATGTGGATTAACGGGGTGCTACATACAGGTGAGGAACTTTGGCAGAGCGGCCAGTGTGTTTTTACAGACGTTCATCTTTAACAATTATCAAATTAGTTTAGACAGTGCTGGCTTTTATACTTAAGGAAATGAACAGACAACCTGGTCAAGTATCATTTTCTAGAAAAATAGTGGGGTTTTTTTTGTTTGTTTATTTTTTTGAGACGGAGTCTCGCTCTGCTGCCCAGGCTGGAGTGCAGTGGCGCGATCTTGGCTCACTGCGACCTCCGCCTCCTGGGTTCAGGCCATTCTCCTGCGGCAGCCTCCTGAGCAGCTGGGACTACAGGCGCCCGCCACTACGCCCGGCTAATTTTTTAAAAAAATATTTTTAGTAGAGATGGGGTTTCACCTTGTTAGGCAGGATGGTCTCCATCTCCTGACCTCATGATCCGCCCGCCTCGGCCTCCCAAAGTGCTGAGATTACAGGCGTGAGCCACTGCGCCCGGCCTGAAAAACAGTTTTTAATTACTTCTCAGTGGGAGGACATTTTAGGGCATCCGCTCTTCTCCAATCACAGTCAGGTCCGGCTTCCTTTGGTATCTGATGGCAATGGCTGAAATGAGCTGAGCTGAGTTCCTCTCCCTTCACATTCTGGAGTGGCTCTTTACTGAGTAAGAAAGTGAATTAACATTTATTTAGCTTCTTCCTTGGAGCTGGGTACCGGGTCAGCCTCTTTTCAGAGAGCTTTTGCTCTTGTGGTCAGAGTTACCCTGCAGTTTTCTCCTGGCTCTTACATGACATATCTCAGTACAGGTGTCAAGCCAATGGGACAAAGCCATAGTCCTGTTTTCCTTCCCTCCTTCCCTCCCTCCCTCCCTTCCTTCCTTCTTCCCTCCCTCCCTCCCTCTTTCCTATTGCCCAGGCTGGAGTGCAGTGGCACCATCTCAGCTCACTGAAACCTCCGCCTCCCGGGTTCAAGCAATTCCCCCGCCTCACCGTCCCGAGTAGCTGGGTTTACAGGGGTGCCCCACTACGTCCGGCTAATTTTTGTATTTTTAGTAGAGACGGGTTTCACCATATTGGCCAGGCTGGTCTCGAACTCCTGACCTCAGGTGATCCATCCGCTTCATCCTCCCAAAGTGCTGAGATTACAGGCGTGAGCTACCGCGCCCGCCCTCTAACTGTTTCTTTGGAGTGCTGCTAGGAAGATTCAAAGAAGTGCAAATAAGGTACCAGCGGAGGCTGGTTTGTCTCCTTGCAATTTCTTTGTGATCACCCCTGGGATCACTCTTCTACAGCGTTCCGACAGTGTTCCAAAAACTTCCCTGCACCAGCGGCAGGGGCAGATTTCCCACCCGGCCATGATTCATGTAGAGCAGTGTCAAAACCAGATCCTTTCCTTACACGCTCATTCGCCGAAAGACCCATGCTATGCTGACGGGGTTCCAACCTGGGCTTCACCGACTCCACGTCAGAGGGTCTGTGATTCCCTGAGAGGGTACCCTTAGGCTGAGAGCAAGGGCCCACCTGCACTCTGCGCGAAGGACTGTGGTTTTCATCGGGTTGTCGAGAGCGTTCTAACCCAAAATGCTTTAAGAATCACAACTCTAGCCCTTCTAATCAAACTGCTTTGGCCAAGACGTCCGTTTTGAGTTGCATTTGAACCCTAGCCCTCGGTGGGAGGCACACTCACTTCCACGTTCACAGTTCTTGGAAGCGGTCCCACTGGGGGCGGGGCTGAGCGCGACCGCGCCCTCAACTCCCCCTATTGCCCGCCCCGGGGTGGGGCATAACCACCCAACAGGCTCCTTACTCAAGCTCGGGTTCTTCTCCTAGGCGGAAGCCAGACCAGAGAGCGTGCGTGTTTTTCCCAGGGTGCCCCGCGCTGCTGTTATGGCCGCCTCCTTGAGGTAGTATCCGCACATGGAATTCTAGGGCCGCAGGTGTATTTACGGTAACTGTCGCCACTAGATTTCAGCGCCTTTGGACTCTCCTGTTTTCACTTTCTTTTGTTGACTCCCGTGTGGCCCTCGTGGGAGCCTGTTTTGGCTGCAGCGGTGTCTGGGGTGATGTGGACCCCGGAGCTGGCAATTCTGAGGGGATTCCCCACTGAGGCTGAGCGGCAGCAATGGAAACAGGAGGGGGTCGTCGGTTCAGGTGAGAGGCGCACCTACCGGGCCTTAGGCTATCGTGGGAACTGTGAGGAAAAGGGATGGCAGCGACTGATTCTCATCCCTCCCTTCATTTTTCCCTAACACAGTCTAGCTGATTCCTTGAGGCTTTGGGTCGTTTAGTCTTTGACATGGTGGGCGTGGTCCTCACTTTCTTTGCGCAAAACTTCTTACCGCCCAGGTTCAGTAATAATGACAATGGCAATGTCAGTTATTTTTCTAAGCCCTTAACATGTACTCAGTCATTTAATGCTTATAGTAGATACTTAAGGTAGATTCAATTTTTAATCCCATTTTGCGGTGAAGATCTGTAAATACAGTTGGGTTAAGTAATTTTATTTTATCTATTTATTTATTTATTTATTTATTTATTTATTTATTTATTGAGACGGAGTTTTGCTTTTTGCCCAGGCTGGAGTGCAATGGCGCGATCTCGGCTCGCTGCAACCTCCGCCTCCCGGGTTCAAGTGATTCTCCTGCCTCAGCCTCCAGGGTAGCTGGGATTACAGGCATGCGCCACCACGCCCGGCTAATTTTGTATTTTTAGTAGAGTCGAGGTTTCACCATGTTGGCCTAGCTGGTCTGGAACTCCTGACCTCAGATGATTCGCCTGCCTCAGCCTCCCAAAGTGCTGGGATTACAGGCCTGAGCCACCGCGCCCGGGTCTGGTTAAGTAATTTATTTAAGGTCACACTGTTGGTAAGCAGAGGAGCTAAAATGAGGCAGCAAAGTTGTTTTTTTGGGGGGATGGAGTCTCCCTCTTGTTGCTCTGGCTGGAGTGCACTGGTGCCATCTCGGCTCACTGCAACCTCCGCTTCCCCGGTTCAAGCGATTCTCCTGCTTCAGCCTCCAAAGTAGCTGGGACTACAGGCATGCACCACCATGCCCGGCTAATTTTGTGTTTTTAGTAGAGACGGCTTTCATCATGTTGGTCAGGCTGGTCTGGAACTCCTGACCTCAGGTGATCCACCCGCCTCGGCCTCCCAAAGTGCTGGGATTACAGCCATGAGCCACCATGCACGGCCTAGGCGGCAATGATTTATTTTTTTTATTTTTTTGAGACAGAGTCTCGCTCTGTCGCCTAGGCTGGAGTGCAGTGGCGCGATCTCGGCTCACTGCAAGCTCCACCTCCCGGGTTCACGCCATTCTCCTGCCTCAGCCTCCCGAGTAGCTGGGACTAAAGGCGCCTGCCACCACGACCAGCTAATTTTTTTTTTTGTATTTTTAGTAGAGACGGGGTTTCACCGTGTTAGCCAGGATGGTCTCGATCTCCTGACGTCGTGATCCACCCACCTCGGCCTCCCAAAGTGCTGGGATTACAGGCATGAGCCACCGCGCCCAGCCTAGGAGGCAAAGATTAATTCTTGTGAGCAATGAATATTTACCAGAGAGATAAAGAGTTAAAAGGCACATGCACTGGCACATCTGGTTGTGGGATTTAGGCTGGACCCAAAAGAGTAATAATGAACAGTGTAGTGTGTAAGTACTCTGTGTGTATGTGTGTGTGTGTGGGCACTTGTGTGACACAGTAGGTGCTTCCAGTGACAGGAAGTTTGAACTTTGGTGGCCTGGAAAACTTTCCTAGAAGAAGTTAGACTTGAGCTGATTTTGGATTAAAGGGTAAGACTAACAAGTGGAGAAGAGTTCAACAGGCGATATCACAAGTGCAAAGTGTGGAGGCAGGAATACGCATGGGACATTAGGGAAACAATGAGTAAACCAGCGCTCTTGGAGTGACTTTTCAAGAAGAGAAAATAATGGAGGTAGAAAGAACCAGATTGTGAAAAGTTTTAGAACCTTGACTAAGGAAACTTTTGTATTGTCAGTAGGAATCTTTGTGAATTTCCCAGCAAAAGACTAAATACCTATTAATGAGGAATATTATTTCTGGGGCTGACTTCCACTTTGGGGCTCATAGTCAGTATGAGTGAGCTGCTAATTCTAGGAGAGAGAATGTTTGTAGAATGATGGAAATTTACTGAGTGCCTTGTGACTGACATACAGTAATCATTCTAAGTCTATAGATTGTTTTTGCACACTAAAATGGTAGATTTACCTAATAGTGTTATCCTTTACGGTATGAAAAATAATTTTTTTTGGATTACCGCACTAATTTTTTATATTACAGAGAGTGGATCTTTCCTACAATTGCTACTGGAAGGGAACTATGAAGCCATATTCTTAAATTCAATGACTCAAAATATTTTTAATTCAACAACAACCGCTGAAGAAAAGATTGATAGCTACCTGGAGAAGCAGGTAGTAACATTCCTGGATTACTCAACAGATTTGGACACAACGGAAAGGTAGAATTTTATTTGAAATTTTCATAGAGGAACAGAGCAAATACATTTAATAGCACCTTGACAGGGTAAGGCCCTGATTTTAGCAGTTGAGAAACCTTGCCTTATATTTTACTCAAGACTCATGGTGTACCAAGTAATCTATGTAAAAACTCATCCAGAAGTCCATCCAGAATGAAGAAGTAAAGTGGTGCAGGATAAAATGGTTTCATATATGAGACTGGCACATATTTTGGTGTTAACTGCAAATGCTTAGGTCTGGTCGGCTTTACCCACCGGCAAAACTTCAGACCTTATTTCCTTTAACTTAAAAACATACTTTCAGGCTGGGTGCAGTGCTTCACGCCTGTAGTCCCAGTGCTTTCGGAGGCCGAGGCGGGCGGATCACATGAGGTCAGGAGTTTAAGACCAGCCTGGCAAACATGGTGAAACCCCGTCTATACAAAAATACAAAAATTAGCTGGGCATGGTGGCATGCGCCTGTAATCCCAGCTGCTAGGGAGGCTGAGGCCGAAGAATCGCTTGAACCTGGGAGGTGGAGGTTGTAGTGAGCCAATATCCCGCCATTGCACTCTAGCCTGGGCGACAGAGCGAGACTCTGTCTCAAAAAAAAACCAAAAAACAAAAAACATACTTTCAATCTTGTTATTTCTGCATAGCTGAGTGCTAATTTGTAACTATTTATTATGTTTTAGATTATTATCTTTATAGAGCTCAGAGAACTTAATGTTTTTGTAAGGAAGCCCTTGGTTTACCTTCTTCCATTAAAGTTTGTGTAATTTTATAGGGTTAAGTATAGCAGATAGTTACACAGCAGGGAAACCTAAGCTTTTCAGTGGCTTATATTTCATTGTTATAAATTTGATACCTCTATCTTTCGTCTACTATCTGTGGCAACCATGTCAAGCTTTAATTATCTTATAAATGCATGCAATTTTATTTTACCATTATTTCTAGGAAATAGCTTCATTTAGTCCTTCAACAAATAAACTATTGTAGTAGATGTGGAGGTTCTGAGGATGAATAAAGCATAACCCATATTCATAAGGAGTTTGCAAAAGAATGCTACTACAGGCTTTTAATTTTATTTTGAAAATTAATATTATTCATTTTCTTTTTTCTTTTTTTTTTTTGATGGAGTATCACTCTGTTGCCCAGGCTGGAGTGCAGAGGCGTGATCTCGGCTCACTGCAACCTCCGCCTCCCAAGTTCAAGTGATTCTCTTCCCTCAGGTTCCCATGTAGCTGGGATTACAGGCCTGTGCCACACCTGGCTCATTTTTTTTGTATGTTTAGTAGAGATGGGGTTTCACCATGTTGGCCAGGCTGGTCTTGAACTGCTGACCTCAGGTGATCTGCCCACCTCGGCCTCCCAAAGTGCTGGGATTACAGACGTGAGCCACTTCGCCCAGCCTCCATTTAATTTTTTTTAGTTTACTGGTAGTTATGTTCCTTTGGTATCATTCTTTTTTTTTTTTTTTTTTAGTTCCTTTTTGTAGAGATGGTGTCTTGATATGTTGCTCAGGCTGGTCTCGAACTCCTGGGCTCAAGCAATCCTCACCTCTGCCTCACTAAGTGTGGGGATTATAGGCATGAGTCACTCCGCCCGGCTGGATTCTCATTGCTTTCTTATATGTGTGCACTCTCATAGCAACTAGCCTTGTGGCACCCATTAAAACAACACATTCACACAAATGCATTATTCACTGATATACCAGATTTCTATCTTGTCACATAAAGCTAAAAAGAGACATTTCAGTTGACTCATTTTCAGACATTTGAAAGTTAAAGTGTATTTTCAGTTCACCTTATGGATTTTGTTTTTTGATTAGGACAGTTTATTAAGGCTGTTTTCTCCAAATTTCCAAACTTCTGATTGCATACCAGCTCTTTTGTTATCTTTTTTCTCTAATGCTGCTTATTTGCATTGCATCCAGAGTTTTATATTTTTGCTACCATAGGCTTGTATGTTTGATTTTTTTTTTTCTTTTTCTGAAAGACTCTTCCTTTTAAGGAAGGGCCTAGGGGCTGTGGGGAAAAAAGTGATTACTAATACTTTCTCTTCAGAATGAAACTCCAGGATTCCCTGGCTGTTATTTGCTAGAGTTGGATCTGTACCTATTTAGATCCTAATTTAGGGTTTGGCACATTATGGCTGGCAGGCTAACTAAGTGGCTAAGAATTAATGGGTTTTACATTTTTAAAGGGTTGGAAAAAAACAAACATGATATGCAAAGCCTAAAATATTTCATATTTAGAAAAAGTTTGCCTATCCCTGTCTCACATCACAGCAAGACTGAAAAATAGAGTTTTCACTAAAATATCTATATGTTTTGTTGTTGTTGTTGTTCTAGCATTTGGTGGTATGGGATTGGTAAACAATTAGCAACAACTTTATATCATCACTTTTCTTTTGTATAAAGTCAGTTTTCTATACATCTTGCAACATCAGAGCTGTTAAAGGGAGTGCAAGAAAAACTTATAGATGTCTGATCAGAACCTAAATCAACACCGTTCAAGATAATTTTCCGTGGAGATAGAAGTGCTCTCTATCTTCATTGCCCACATGGTAGCCACTAGCCACACTTAACTATTGAGCACTTGAAATATGGAAAGTATGACTAAGGAACTGAATTATAAATTTTATTAATTTTAACTAATGCAAATTTAAACCATGTTTGGCTCGTGGCTATAATATTGGATATTGTAGACCTAATTTCTTTTTTTTTTAAGAGAGACAGGGTCTCGCTTTATCATCTAGGCTGGAGTACAGTGCTATGATCAAAGCTTACTACAGCCTCAAACTCCTGGGCTGCAAGCAATCCTCATGCATCAGCCTCTTGAGTAGCTGGGATGTACCACCATGCCGGCTAACTTTTAATTTTTTTGTAGAGACAGGGTCTCACTATGTTTCTCAGGCTGGTTTTGAACTCCTGGGTTCAAATGATCCTCCTACCGTGGCCTTCCAAAGTGCTGGAATTACAGGCATGAACCACTGTGCCTAGCTAACCTAAATTGTTTTAAGTTTTAGAAATTTTTTTTTTTGGTAATACTCTAGGATAGTCTCAATAAATGTTGATAGATATTATTTTCTTAATAAAACTGAAATGGAATAGTGTGTTTGAGATTATACAGTGATAGTAGTTCATATTTATTTCTTTAACCATTCTTATATGCAGACAACAGTTGATATTTCTACTTGGTGTGAGCAGTTTGCAACTTTTTGTTCAGAGCAACTGGACGGGGCCCCCTGTTGACTTACACCCTCAGGACTTTTTGTCATCTGTTTTGTTCCAGCAATTCAGTGAGGTATGCTTCTTGAAAATGTTGTATGTAATTATTATTATGTTATTTATTTTTTATAAGCAGGTCTTTATAAACTGGAACTCATAGTAGGAAAGAAACATGACTTTATGGTTTGCACAAAAGTACTAAGAATGCTTGTTCATTGATCAGATTTTCACAGATTTCCAGAAGTTCCTTTGTCAAACTCCTCTTCATACACACTCCATTTTATGGAGCTGTGTTAGCTGTGTTTTTTAATGAAAGTACAGACAGCTGCACCAGTTGTTTAGTTGGTTGTATCACCTCAGTTACATAAAGATTTTTTTTTTTTGAGATGGTATCTCACTCAGTCATCCAGGCTGTTGTACAGTGGCTGGATTACAGCTCACTGCACCCTCAACCTACTCAGGCTCAGGCGATCTTCCCACCTCAGCCTCCCAAGTAGTTGGGACTACAGTTGCATGCCAACATGTCCAGCTAATTTTTTTGTAGAGATGGAGTTTTGCCATGTTGCCCAGGCTGGTCTGAAACTCCTGGGCTCAAGTGGTCTGCCTGCCTCAGCCTCCCAAAGTGCTAGGATTATAGGTGTGAGCGCTGTACATAAAGATCTTTAATGGCAAAGCAGCAAATCTGGAAATCTGTTTAATTTTATTTCAGGTAAGTTTTTAACTAATTAATTAATTAATTTTTTTTGAGACAGAGTCTTGCTCTGTCACCCAGGCTGGAGTACAATGGCGCGATCTCAGCTCACTGCAACCTCTGCCCCATGGGTTCAAGCAATTCTTCTGCTTCAGCCTCCCTAGTAGCTGGGATTACAGGCGTGTGCTACCACACTTGGCTAATTTTTGTATTTTTACTAGATGTGGGGTTTCTCCATGTTGGCCAGGCTGGTCCCAAACTCCTGACCTTAAGTGATCCTCCCACCTCAGCCTCCCAAAGTGCTGGGTTTACAGGCGTGAGCCACCATTCCCGGCTTGCAGGTAAGTTTTGATACTGTACTTAAGAATGGCTCCCAGGAGTGGTTTGCTCCCAGGGGTGGCTTTAAATTACAAATACTTTATTAAAGTTTCTGGCACAGCATTGCTTCATGGTGATTATTATCCATTGTGAAGATAATATTATCGATCTGTGCCAGTGTGTCGCCAATAGAGCTTGCAGTTTGAGTTCCTCAGGAATCTTGAGCTCCTATATAGAGGGTCTGGCTAGTATGAGATGATCTACAAAAGAAGTATGGTTTAAATCAAAGTAAGAACTTTGATTTATCCAGCCACTTTGGTGATTTTGAACGTAGCTATCCACCACTCAGCCTGGAAAAAGCTGAGTGATTGATAGCTATGTTCAAAATCACCAAATTGTATCCAGAACTCGTGCAGCAAAACAGACCTAGTGTTACCTGGTTTCTCAGAATTAGGTGTAGCAAGTAGGCCGGGCACAGTGGCTCATGCCTGTAATCCCAGCACTTTGGAAGGCCAAGGCGGGCGGTTCACGAGGTCAGGAGTTCAAGACCAGCCTGATCAACATGGTGAAACTCCGTCTTACTAAAAATACAAAAATTAGCCGGGTGTGGTGGTGCACGCTTGTAATCCCAGCTACTCAGGAGGCTGAGGCAGGACAATTGCTTGAACCCGGGAGGCGGAGGTTGCAGTGAGCCAAGATCACGCCACTGCACTCCAGCCTGGGTGACAGAGTGAGACTCCATTTCAAAAAAAGAAAAAAGAAAAAGAATTGGGTGTAGCAAGTAAATGTGGAATAGAGTTATTAGAGATATGTGTTAATAATTTGATGGGGGGGTAGAAAGAGAAGAAGTGCAAAAACAAGCATAAAGTGAAAACCACAATAATTAACTCTTTGCATATCAGCTTAGTGAGTCACTATATATACTTCATTAGAGTAATTTTAATCCATAATGCTGATCCTAATTATAACTGAAAGGTTAAAAGATGTTTTGTGTCTTATGTCTATGAAGGGAATTTATAATTTATATTCTACAGAGGTTTTCATCCAAAATGGGAGTAAAAAAACCCCAAACCCTAAATGATTGTAGCAGTTAAAGAGATAAGCTTCAGTTATCTAGAAATGTACTTAGGAAACATCTCATTCCCTCTCTTATTATGTATGAATCAGTTTCTGGCTTCTATGGCCCTATAGTATAGATTAGAAATCCACCAAACAGCCAAAGCCATAAATATCTCCTGAACACTGATGTGTGGTTTGAATGGTACTTAATTCGCATTTCTTTTTTTTTGTTTTGAGACGGAGTCTCACTCTGTCGCCCAGGCTGGAGTGCAGTGGTGCGATCTCGGCTCACTGCAGTCTCTGCCTCCCGGGTTCAAATGATTCTCCCACCTCAGCCTCCCAAGCAGCTGGGACTACAGGTGCTCACCACCACGCCCGGCTAATTTTTGTATTTTTAGTAGAGACGGGGTTTCACCATGTTGGCCAGGGTGGTCTCAAACTCCTGACCTCAGGTGATCCACCCGCCTCGGCCTCCCAAAGTGTTAGGATTATGGTGTGAGCCACTGCGCCTGGCCTTAATTCACATTTCTTGTGCCAATTTGGTCCTTACAGATTTGAGGTAATCTATAGGTGAAAAGACTGAAGCTCAGAGTGGTAAAAGAATCTTGTCAGAGATCTGTAGCTGGGGCATTGGAATCCACATTTTCTGGTTCCAAATCCAGTACTCTTCTATACTAGTGTAGAAGCACCTGTAAATTCAGGTAGCAAATCAAAACAATATGGAAATGAGTTTCATGAGAAGTTCAGACCATAAGAAATATTGCCATTAACAAAGAGATTTGTGGAAGCTGGATTTTGTCAAAGAAGACCTTTTAGTTGGAAGTGGACCTTGAGCTAGAACCTGAAGGATGGTTAGAAAATGGATAGAGAAGAGGAAAATATCCATTCTAGGTGCAGTCATATGAGCAGGAATTTAGAGGAGAGGACAGCATAGTGTTTGTGGGAAAAGGATGCTTTGAACTTGCCTCTTTTAGCAGTGAAAAATCACTTGATGGAGGTCATTTGGAGTTGTAGGAAACTTTGACTAAGTCTTTGATTTTAACTTTTTTATTGGAACTACTGCCAACACTTAAAAGAGCATATGAAATGTATACAATTTAAATAATAAATCTCCTTTGTACTCACAACCTAGCTTGAGTGTCACAGGTAATGCTCTCCAGATAGTATACCATGTGCTGTCTCCCTGTATAATTTTTATTTGTTGCTATGTTAAATTACTTGTTTGTTCTTTATATTTAGGGATTCATGTAGAAGATAATGACCTGAAATTTGTGGTAGAACAGGCAGACATATTTCTTGTCTCAGAGTGATTAGGAGAAGGATTCTTTTTCTTTTTCTTTCTTTTTTTTTTTCAGACGGAGTCTCACTGTGTTGCCCAGGCTGGAGTGCAGTGGCGCAATCTCAGCTCACTGCAACCTCCGCCTCCCGGGTTCAAGTGATTCTCCTGCCTCAGCCTCCTGAGTAGCTGGGACTACAGGCGCCCGCCACCGTGCCTGGCTAATTTTTGTATTTTTTAATAGAGACGGGGTTTCACCTTATTGGCCAGGCTGCTCTCAAGCTCTTGACCTTATGATCTGCCTGCCTCAGCCTCCCAAAGTGCTGAGATTCCAGGTGTGAGCCACCGGGCCTGGCCAGGATTCTCTTTCTTAAAGACATTCCTTATTATCTTCTTGTGCTTTACCAGTTTGGCTTGGGCTTTAGGAAATCAGCTTGTTATATCTACTTGAATTTACAACATGATCCGATGAGGCTGCAGGTCTAGTTTGGGCACTTTAGGCAGGTTCTTCTGAGTTCTCAAGTCAGTATATTCACTGTACATTCAGTACCTCCAGTTGGGGTTCTCACAGAATACCTCATTTCCTCATCATGTCCAAGACTGAACTCATGATGAAGGTCTTCTCTTTTTGTGTCTGTATTTCAGTTACACACGCCACCATGGTGTAGTGCCAGTCAGAAGGCTAAAAGTCATCCTGGCCATGTCCTTGAGGCTCTCCAAATGCTTAGCATAGCCCTAGCCCTTCCTGAGGGGCAGGAAGAGGTAGAGAGATCTGTTTCCAGTTCCCAAACCAATGTTCTTTCTACCAGCGTGGGCTGGTTTGGGAATTGATTTGGGAATTGGAAACATGGGCTTCACTTAATTTTTATGGATCTGTTTCCTCACCTCTAAAATTGAGGCAGTTGTAAAAACTTGATAATATTTCATTAATTATTGAAGTTTTTTTTTTAAATAATTCCTTGTATGCTTAGCAGAGATAACAGTAGGCTTTGTGGTTGTGGAGGTAATTCATATTAAATCTTTATTCCTCTATTACACTCTTGAATGATGATGAAAATAGGACAGAGGATGAACTCACAGTTATTTCCTTCTTTCTCTTTTATTTATTGTTTTTTATTTTTTTCTAAGGCAGTCTCGCTCTGTCGCCCCGGCTGGAGTGCAGTAGCATGATCACGGCTCACTGTAACCTCCGCCTCCCAGGTTCAAGCGATTCTCCTGCTTCAGCCTCCTGAGTAGCTGGGATTACAGGCATGTGCCACTATGCCCGGCTAATTTTTGTATTTTTAGTAGAGATGGGGTTTCACCATGTTGGCCAGGCTGTTCTCGAACTCCTGACCTCAGGTGATCCACCCGCGTGGCCTTCCAGAGTGCTGGGATTACAGGCATGAGCCACTGTGCCCGGCCCTCCTTCTTTCTTCTATTGAATACTTTAAACAATATTCAAAATATTCAGTATTCAAATATTTAGTATTCAAAATACTCAGTATTGAGCCAGGGAGTGGCATTACTTGGATTGTTTAGTTTAATCCTTACAAGAACCCTCTGAGGTATAGGTTCAGTTATTTCATTTTTTTTTTGATACGGAGTCTTGCTCTGTCACCCAGGCTGGAGTGCAGTGGCACAATCTGGGCTCACTGCAAGCTCCACCTCCTGGGTTCACAACATTCTCCTGCCTCAGCCTCCCAAGTAGCTGGGACTACAGGCACCCACCACCACGCCCGGCTAATTTTTTGTAGTTTTAATAGAGACAGGGTTTCACCGTGTTAGCCAGGATGGTCTTGATCTCCTGACCTCGTGATCCGCCCGCCTTGGCCTCCCAAAGTGCTGGGATTACAGATGTGAGCCACCGTGCCCGGCCCAGTTATTTCATTTCATAATTGATGAAACTGAGGCTTCATCAGGAAAACAATTGTGGGAAAAATTTACATGTGCTCACAAACTAATGAGAAGCAGAGAAAGGACACTGTCCTGTGCATGTGACATTGGAACCCATGTTCCTGATGGGTGAAGATTCTTGCTCGCTATTGTATGGAGCTGTTAAAATTCTGCCATCCAAATTTTAACAACCTTGTCCATTGTAAAAAAATCTCTGTACAACAGGAGAGTGCATTTTTCAAAGGCATCCTTTTTTTTTTCAGCCTTCTGCTCACTCTGGTGTGTGGTCATATGCCCATTCTGCATTTGATGCATGAGACCTTGTTGATTGTTTGGCTTGATAGAAATTATGGAGTAGAGACTTACTTCATAATGACATTTTCCAGGTATTGAAGCTTAAGTGAAATGTAGGTGTTTAATATAAATATCAAATACACTATTTACTATAAATACTTTAATATAGGGATGCTTTTCATTGAGATAATATTTTGTTGTAAGTGAATTTATGAAGTGATGATATCTCTTCAATGCTAGCATTTTTTTTGAGTTCCTTGTTTCTCTAAAGTTTGAACATGCCAGGCGCAGAAGCTTTCACCTGTAATCCCAGCACTTTGGGAGACCAAGGCAGGGGATCACTTAAGGTCAGGAATTCGAGACCAACCTGGCCAACATGGTGAAACCCCATCTCTACTTAAAATACAAAAACTTAGCTGGATGTGGTGGTGCGTGCCTGGAGTCCCAGCTATTCGCCCAGGCAGGAGGATCACTTGAGCCCGGGAGATGGAAGTTGCAGTGAGCCAAGATCACGCCACTGCACTCCAGCCTGGGCAACAGAGTGAGACTCCCATCTCAAAACAAAAACAAAAACAAAAACAAAACACCAAAAACCCAAAAAATCAAGTTTGATCAGATGGGTGGCCATCCATCAGGGCAGGCTGGATTTATAGATGTCTAAGGGCATTTGCAGTGTTATAATTCTGTCCAGTGCCAATTGCTGTGTAATATATTAATGCTTTTGTTTCAAAGCTGAGTTGACTGGAAAATCTTTGTATTATTACAAGACATATAAAGATTAATATTTTGTTAAATTATATCATCTTAGTTTATAATCCTTTTTTCAGGTTAAAGGACTGGATGCATTTGTTCTGAGCCTGCTCACTCTAGATGGTGAATCAATCTACAGCCTGACCTCGAAGCCTATACTACTGTTATTAGCACGCATTATCCTAGTGAATGTAAGACATAAACTGACAGCTATTCAGGTAAGGAAAGGATCCATGAGATTCATACCCTGGTATGACTTTTGTGCTTATTAACACCAGGCTGTAGATGTGTTGCTGACAATGTCTTGGTCTATTTTGTTTTCTAAGTCTTCTAGGTATGTAATTTAAAAATCTGATGAAAATAAGCAAAAACTTTTCTTCCCTCATGAGATTGATCTAGTTTAGAATGAGATTATGTTGCACCTCCTTAATAGGATTTATGTGTGTACTGTGTAGATATAAATGTTCATTTGCAGAAATCTTAAATATCGATTTAAAAATATACCTTGGGCTGGGCATGGTGGCTCACGTCTGTAATCCCAGCACTTTGAGAGGCTGAGGTGGACGGGTCACCTGAGGTCAGGAGTTCGAGACCAGCCTGGCTAACATGGTGAAACCCCATCTCTACTAAAAATACAAAATTAGCTGGGCGCAGTGGCGTGCACCTGTAATCCCAGCTACTTGGGAGGCTGAGGCAGGAGAATTGCTTGAACCTGGGAGGTGGAGGTTGCAGTGAGCCGTGATTGCGCCATTGCACTCCAGCCTGGGCAAGAGAACAAGACTGTGTCTCAAAAACAAAACAAAACAACAACAACAACAACAAAAACAAAACAAAAAAAGATATACCTCACAGTCTTTTATGAATTTCATGTAGGATAATGAGCAGTGACCAAAATTTAATGGGTCTTAATTTCTGTTTTCTGGCTCACATTCTATGTTATGTCATTATTTGGGTTGGATTTAGTAAAGCATTTGTTAAATATCTATTATATGGTTTCTTCATATAAACTAGTGAGGACAAATATACACACAGAATGCTAATATGCAGAAAGAAAAGACAGTCTTTGGAGGTTTAGTGGAGGTTGTCAGCCACGCAGTGTGCAGTCTGTGTTGCGCTATTCAACTCTGCTGCATTGTAGTGTTAGAGCAGCTGTAGACAATGTTTCATTAAATGGACATGACTGTCTTCCAATAAAGCTTTATTTGTGGACACTGAAACTTACATTTTCTATACTTCTCACATTCACAAAATATTATTCTTGATTTTTCCCAGTGATATAAAAATGTAAAAACGATTTTCAGTTCTTGGACTATACGGAAACCAGTAGTGGGCTGGATTTGCGCACAGGCTGTGCCTGGCTGACCCCTGCTCCATCTGATTGTTGCAACCTGGTGTGCTGCAGACCCCATAGTGTCAGAAATAGTACATCTAAATTTTATGTGAAATCTCCCAGTTTTGGCTGAAAATTTTTAAGAAATGCAATAGTTCTTTCTTTTTTTTTTCGAGATGGAGTTTCACTCTTGTTGCCCAGGCTGGAGTGCAATGGCGCGATCTCGGCTCACCACAACCTCCACCTCCTGGGTTCAAGCAATTCTTCTGCCTCAGCCTCCCAAGTAGCTGGGATTACAGGCATGCGTCACCATGTCTGGCTAATTTTGTATTTTTATTTATTTATTTTTTTGAGACAGAGTCTCGCTCTGTAGCCCAGGCTGGAGTGCAGTGGCGTGATCTTGACTCACTGCAAGCTCCACCTCCTGGGTTCACACCATTCTCCTGCCTCAGCCTCCCAAGTAGCTGGGACTACAGGCGGCTGCCACGATGCATGGCTCATCTTTTGTATTTTTAGTAGAGATGGGATTTCTCCACATTGGTCAGGCTGGTCTCGAACTCCTGACCTTAGGTGATCTGCCTACCTCAGCCTCCCAAAGTGCTGGGATTACAGGTGTGAGCCACTGTGCCCGGCCCAAGCATCACAATATTTCTATAGGTCAATGTAGACTTGGTCTGTGCTGTGTAAGGGCTTACTTTCCTAAGCATTTAAGTTTATACACTAAATTTTTTTTTTTTTTTTTTTTTTGAGATGGAGTCTCACTTTGTCACACAGACTGGAGTATAGTAGTGTGATCTCGGCTCATTGCAACCTCCACCTCACAGGTTCAAGCGATTCTCATGCCTCAGCCTCCTGAGTAGCTGGGATTACAGGCGCCCACCACCACGTTTGGCTAATTTTTTGTATTTTTAGTAGAGACATGGTTTCGCCATGTTGGCCGTGTTGGTTTCAAACTCCTAGCCTCAGGTAACCTGCCTGCCTTGGCCTCCCAAAGTGCTGGGATCACAGGCATGAGCCACCGCACCTGGCCTAAATTTGTTTTAAAAGAAGAGGTTAGAAGGGAAGTGGTGCCTCTATTTGCAACTCTCATGAGAGCCAGAGGATTTGGAAGCCATTGTACTAGAGGTTGTTTTTTGTTTGTTTGTTTGTTTTGTTTTTTTTTTAAGACAGGCTCTGGCCCCGTTGCCCAGGCTGGAGTGCAGTGGCATGATCTCAGCTCACTGCAACCTCCACCTCCTGGGCTGAAGCCATCCTCCCACCTCAGCCTCCCAAGTAACTTGTACTACAGGCATGCGCCACCACACCCGGCTAATTTTTGCATTTTTTGTAGAGACAGGGTTTCACCTTGTTGCTCAGGCTGGTCTTGAACTTGTGGGCTCAAGTGATTCACCTGCCTCCATCTCCCCTAAGTGCCGAGATTATAGGCATAAGCCACCATTCCCAGCCTAGAAAGGTTTTTGTTTTTGAGACAGCGTCTTGCTCTGTCGCCCAGGCTGGAGTACAGTGGTGTGATCTTGGCTCACTGCAATCTACGCCTCCCAGGTTCAAGTGATTTTCCCACCTCAGCCTCCCAAGTAGCTGGGACTACAGGTGTGCACCACCATGCCTGGCTAATTGAAGGTTTTTTAATACACGGATTTCAACATGTCTTAGCATATATGAGGCTTCGTCTTTTGAGCTCTTAGTGACAGTAGCTTGAGTAAAAAATTTTTCCCCTAAGTAAGTTGATCTGAGTTAAATGGTCTTAAAGACTGACGATTACTTTGCTCTATTGTTTTATTTATTTACTTATTTATTTTTTGAGACAGAGTCTCACTCTGTTGCCCAGGCTGAAGTGCAGTGGTGTGATCTCGGCTCACTACAACCTCTGCCTCCTGGGTTCAAGTGATTCTCCTGCCTCAGCCTCCCTAGTAGCTTGGATTACAGGCACGTGCCACCATGCCTTGCTAATTTTTTTGTACTTTTAGTAGAAATGGGATTTTACTATGTTGGCCAACTGGTCTCAAACTCCTGACCTCAAGTGATCCACCCACCTTGGCCTTCCAAAGTGCTAGGATTACAGGCGTGAGCCACTGTGCCCAGCTACTTTACTCTAGGTAAAGTATCACCAAGCCATGAGGCTGCCTAATGGCATTATTTTCTTTCTAGTGAGAACTTATGGTCACTAATGAATGAGTGAGACGGTTTTTAAGTTGCTCAAAAGTTTTCTTCATCAAGAATATTAAGCATTGTCCAGGCGCAGTGGCTCTCGCCTGTAATACCAGCACTTTGGGAGGCCAAGGCTGGCGGATCACCTGAGGTCAGGAGTTCGACACCAGTCTGGCCAACATGGCGACACCCTGTCTCTAGTAAAAATACAAAAATTAGCCAGGCATCTCTGGGCATGGTGGTTCACGCCTGTAATCCTAGCACTTTTGGGAGGTCGAGGCAGGTGGATCACCTGAGGTCAGGAGTTTGAGACCAAACTGGCCAACACAGTGAAACCCCGTTTCTATTAAAAATACAAAAGTTAGCCGGGTGTAATGGCGGGTGCCTGTAATCTCAGCTACTTGGAAGGCTGAGGCAGGAGAATTGCTTGAACCCAGGAGGCAGAGTTTGCAGTGAATCGAGATCGTTCCACTGCACACCAGCCTGAGCAACACAGCGAGACTCTGTTTCAAAAAAAAAAAAAAAAAAAAAATTAGCCAGGCATGGTGGTGCATGCCTGTAATCCTAGCTACTCAAGAGGCTGAGGCAGGAATATTGCTTGAACATGGAAGGTGGAGGTTGCAGTGAGCCAAGATCGCGCACCGCACTCCAGCCGAGGCGACAGAGTGAGACTCTGTCTCCAAAAAAAAAAAAAGTATGTTAAGCATCATTTGAAAAATAATATATATACTGTCAACAACTTAGGAGAATTAATAAATATGTGGAATACTAGTTGTAGATGTCATTCTTGTAGGGTTGCAGAGGCAAGTTACCTTAATTTCTTGGCAGCTGTAAACAACTTTTGACTTCTGCTTAAAAACCTGTTTTCCTGTAGTATATTACTATGTATACCTCATTTTGTGCTGAAATTTTGCCTTTTTCTTTTTCTTTTTTTTGAGATGGGAGACAGGGTCTCACTGTGTTGCCCAGGCTGATCTTGAACTCCTGGCCTCAAGTGATCCTCCCACCTCAGCCTCCTGAGTAGCTGGAACTTCAGGAGCACACCATCCTGCCTGGCTTCTCTTGCCATTCAACTGAAGCATTATTCTTTCTATTATAGATTTTTCCTGTGGGTCTTTACTATATCATTCTTTTTTCCCTCCCTCCCTCCCTCCCTCCTTTCCTTCGTTCCTTCCTTTCTTCTTTTCTTCCTTCCTTTCTGCTTTTTTTTTTTTTTTTTTGGAGATGTTGTCTTGCTGTGTTGTCCAGGATGGCCTTCAACTTGTGGGCTCAAGTGATCCTCCTGCTCCAGCCTCCTGAGCAGCTAGGACTATAGGCACCTGGCTTATATCTTTCTCTTAATGGTGTTATTAAAAATGGCTGATTTGATGAATTAAGATAAAATAATAAAGAAACATTACATACTTATCCAAGTTAATTTTAACCTTTTAAATTAATTTTTGAGTAACCTGACTCCAAGAAATGTATCAAGTTATTTATGATGATATTATTTTTGTGAAATTATAGAAGAAGCAGATTTTCCCACAACCCCTAATCTGTGAAGTATATAGACTAGAATTGGTACTATGTAAGTGGTTGAGTAAAATGAGTCTTGGTTTTGAAATCAACAGCTATGTGACCTTATGCTAGTTAATTTCTCTGAATATCAGTTTCCATTTATAAAATGGGATAAACTGGCAAATATTTATTTGGTGTCTTGTGAGTATACTACTGCTCCCTGCTGTCTGGGAGGTTCTAAACTATTGTGACTTCTCAGTCAGACCATTCTGTAATAAGTGTTATAATCAGGAGATAAAATCTAGAAATTATCTAAAGCAAGACCTCAAGTTCACTTTTTTATTAATGCCTCAATTTTTTCTTTCTTTGTTTCTTTTTTTAAAATTGTATTATTATTATGCTTTAAGTTTTAGGGTACATGTGCACAATGTGCAGGTTTGTTATATATGTATACATGTGCCATGTTGGTGTGCTGTACCCATTAACTCGTCATTTAGCATTAGATATATCTCCTAATGCTATCCCTCCCGCCTCCCCCCAATTTTTTCTTTCTTTTTTTATTTTTTTGAGACAGAGTTTTACTCTGTCGCCCAGGCTGGAGTGCAGTGGCGTGATCTCAGCTCAGTGCAACCTCCGCCTCCCGGGTTCAAGTGATTCTCCTGCCTCAGCCTCCCAAGTAGCTGGGACTACAGGTATGCACCACCAGGCCCGGCTAATTTTTTTTGTATTTTTCGGAGAGATGGATTTTCACCATGTTGGTCAGGCTGGTCTCGAACTCCTGACCTCAATGATCTGCTTGCCTCAGCCTCCCAAAGTGCTGGGATTACAGGTGTGAGCCACAGTGCCCGGCCTCAATTTTCAATTTTAATTTTTTTTTTTGAGATGGAGTCTCGCTCTGTCGCCCAGGCTGGAGTGCAGTGGTGCAATCTTGGCTCCCTGCAACCTCTGCCTCCTGGGTTCACGCGATTCTCCTGCCTCAGCCTCCCGAGGAGCTGGGACTACAGGCGCCCACCACCATGTGCAGCTAATTTTTTGCATTTTTAGTAGAGACGGGGTTTCACCATGTTAGCCCAGATGGTCTCGATCTCCTGACCTCGTGATCCACCTGCCTTGGCCTCCCACAGTGCTGGGATTACAGGTGTGAGCCACCATGCCTGGCTCAATTTTTTAAGTTTTATTTTTGTAGAGATGGGATCTCACTGCATTGCCCAGGCTTGTCTGAAACTCGTGGCTTCAAGTGATCTTCCTACCTTGGCTTCCCAAAGTGCTGGGATTAACAGGCATAAGCTACTGTGCCAGCCCTCTATTTTTATATTAAGCAATTCTTGACAAACTGAAAAGGTCTGTTACACTGACTAGTAGAAAAATAGGCTATGCTTTCTATATTTGGTTTTTTTTTTTTTTTTTTTGGAGACCGACTCTCACTCTGTCTGTCTCCCAGGCTGGAGTGCAGTGGCGCGATCTCTGCTCACTGCAAGCTCCACCTTCCGGGTTCATGCCATTCTCCTGCCTCAGCCCCCCAAGTAGCTGGGACTACAGGCTCCCACCAGTACGCCCAGCTAATTTTTTGTATTATTAGTAGAGATGGGATTTCATTGTGTTGGCCAGGAAGGTCTTGATCTCCTGACCTTGTGATCCGCCTGCCTCAGCCTCCCAAAGTGCTGAGATTACAGGCATGAGCCACCGCGCCCGGCCTCTATATTTGTTTTATTCTTCCCTCCCCCATATAAAGATTTTTGGTTTGAGAGTTAATTTATAGATCTGATTTTTGAGAGTTCAGCATATTATATGTTTTTTTTTGTTTGTTTTTTGTTTTTTTTTTTTTAGAGTCAGAGTCTCTTCTCTGTTGCCCAACCTGGAGTACAGTGGTGTGATCACAGCTGACTATAACCTTAAACTCCTGAGTAGCTAGGTTTACAGATACGCACCACCACACTCAGCTACCTAAAAAACAATTTTTGTAGAAATGGGGTCTCTCTGTGTTGCCCAGGCTGGTCTTGAATTTATGGCCTCAAGTGAGCTTCCTGCTACCCAAAGTGCTGGGATTGCAAGTGTGAGCCACCGTGCCTGGCCTTGTATTATGTGTTTTCTTAAAAGTGAAATCTTTTTGACTGGATGTATCTAAATTCCCATGTCTAGAAAAGTAAAAGAATAAGCTGCCAGACCTGACTCACTTATTGCTGACAGCAGATAAGGGACAGATAATTGAGATGTAAACTGACTTCATGCTATAGTGATAGGAAAAGAATGAAAATGACGCAACACCTCAGGGAATTCAGTTAAAAACTGTCTGAAATTTCTTTGCTATTAGATAATTTTATATTTCCTTACATGGACTGAGGAAACAGTATTAATTTGAAAGGATTTTGTCATGGAGTCAAAATTCATTTGTGGTTGCATCACGGTTGTAGTAGTTGTGGTGTATAACACTTTAGAAGCGAACCAGGCTATGGTGTGTAGCAGTTTAGAAGGGAACGTCTTAGTCAAATGAAGAAATTAAGTTCAAGCAAAAAAGTTCTTTGGAGCCAGGTGCTGTGGCATATACCTGTCGTCCCAGGTACTTAGAAATCTGAGGCAGGAGGATGGCTTGAGTCCAGGAGTTCAAAGCTGCAGTGTGCTATGATGACTCCTGTAAATAGCCACTGCACTCCAACCTGGACAGTGTACTGAGACCCCATCTCAAAAAAAAGCTTTTTGGTAATTGTCATCTCATATTTGCAGGTAACTAAAAGGAAAACTAATTGTTAGACTTTCATGTAATATAATGTAAAGTAATATAGTTACAAATAATTTATAATGAGCTTATCAAAATTACTTATCATAACTTGTACACATGTACATATACACACATGCACATACATAGAGGAAGCTCTGGAGGAATGTAAACCTTTGTCACTGATTTTTTCCGCTGGAGGAGGATGATATTGGGGCTGTGGAAGAGAGATTTTCACTCTTCACCGTATATACTTTTTTTTTTGAGACGGAGTTTCACTCTTGTTGCCCAAGCTGGAGTGCAGTGGTGCAATCTTGGCTCACTGCAACCTCCGCCTCCTGGGTTCAAGTGATTCTCCTGCTTCAACCTCCCGAGTAGCTGGGATTACAGGCGCATGCCACCACACCTGGCTAATTTTTCGTATTTTTAGTAGGAACCGGGTTTCATCATGTTAGCCAGGCTGCTCTTGAACTCCTGACCTCAGGTGATCAGCCCCACCTCGGCCTCCCATAGTGCTAGGACTACAGGTGTGAACCACTGCACCTGGCACCCCCCCTTTTTTTTTTTTTTTTTTTTTAAAACAGACTTAGTCTTACAGTGTTGCCCACCTGGTCTCAAACTCCTAGCCTCGAGTGATCTTCTCATTTCAGCCTCCTGAGTAGCTGGGATTATAGGTGTGAGGTACCATACCTGGCCATACTTTTATATTGGCTTGTTGTTCCTTGTTTTTATTTTTTTTAAGTAAATATATGTTGATCAAGTAAGAAAAAGCATCAGCGAATAAAAGAAAAAGCTACTATATGCTCAGCTTGTGCATTAGTCAAGACAATGTCTAAAATCCAGTTTCCTACTGGGTGCAGTGCCTCACATCTGTAATCCCAGCACTTTGGGAGGCCAAGGTGGGTGGATCACTTGAGCCCAGGAGTTGGAGACCAACCTGGGCAACATGGCAAAACCCCATCTCTACCAAAAAATACAAAAATTAGCTGGGCATGGTGACATGGCCAGTAGTCCTAGCAACTCAGGAAGCTGAAGTGGGAGGATCACGTGAGCCTGAGGAGGTCCAGGCTGCAGTGAGCTGTGATCATGCCACTGCACTCCAGCCTGGGCGACAGAGTCAGACCTTGCCTCAAAAAAATAAAATAAAAAATAAAAAAAAGCAGTTTCTGCCCTCAGAAATGTATGGCTCAAATAGAGTTATAAACTTGAAAAACAGGTGCTGTCCAATATGATGCCAACTTCTAGGAACAGTGTAGAAGTTCAAAGAAGTGAAAGATCAGTATGTGCCACACTAGCAGGAGAAGACTGTAAGGAAGAGGTTTCATACAGGTGTGGAAGCAATCTTCTCAGATTGGGGGAACATCTGAATCCAAGGTATTTCTTACTGTGTAGATTATGTAAAATACATTGCTTTGAGGAGGATATAGAGATGAATAAGACATGATTTCTTACCTTGTTGGGTAGTAGACGGTGAACAACATTGGAACCTGAGATGACATACATAAAATACAGTGGAATGTGTTTGCAAGGGAATTACAGATAATGTGCTGGAAGTTCAGGTGATGGAAAAATCACCCCCACAGGGGGTTCTTGTGGGGCCTCTGAAGGAGTTGGTACTCGGATTAAAGTGGTGATAGAGTGCCACAGAGCAGGATGAATACAACATTTTTTTTTTTTTTTTTGAGACAGGGTCTCGCTGTGTTGCCCAGGCTAGAGTGCAATGGTGCATCCTCGGCTCACTGCAACCTCTGCCTCCCAGGTTTAAGCAATTCTCCTGCCTCAAGTCTCCCGAGTAGCTGGGACTACAGGCGCCTGCCACCACGCCCAGCTAATTTTTATATTTTTAATAGAGGCAGGGTTTCACCATGTTGGCCAGGCTGGTCTTGAACTCCTGACCTTGTGATCTGCCCGCCTCGGCCTCCCAAAGTGTTGGGATTACAGGTGTGAGCCATCGCACCCGGCCACAACATATATTTTAAAGGAGGAGTTGGTAAGTTCAAAATGGCATAAGGAAGTCCAAGTGGCTAAAAAAAAAATACAGGTTTGAGAGGATGGAGGTGAGGTGTTATTCTTATGGAAGACACAGATGTGGGTTTTGGTATTATTACTGAAGAGAGTAGTGGATGGGTAATCTTATTGAGGAATAAATTTAATTTTATGAATGTAAAAAAATTCTAAAAATCTCAGTTAATGTAAAAAGAGTTTTCTAAAGTATCCTTTTATTTCAGCTTACGTGGTGTTTTTTCCTAGAGCTTGCCATGGTGGACTTTGAGATGTGTGAATATTCATCAGCATTTGCTTGAGGAACGCTCACCTCTGCTTTTTACTCTTGCCGAAAACTGTATTGATCAAGGTATGTAGCAGATTTTTGTTTGATATGGGCATGTAGCTCAGTTCTAATTACTTGGCTGAGATACTCCTTTTTAGTTTATTTTTTGTCCGGTAGTAGTGCCTTTTCGTTTTGAGTTGTTTCTTTTTTTTTTTTTTTTTTTTTGGTGTAGAATATCACAAGTTGTTATGTTGTCAGATTATAGAGTTCCTTTTAGTCTTTTTAGTTTAAAAAAGATAACTACTTTCACTTACTTAACCTACTTAGGGTGATTTGCTCTATGTAGGTCACCATGATTTTATCTCAAATTGTTTAAAGATATTTTAATATTTTCTCTGTTCTTTAAGAAGCCTCATTGGAAACAGATGTACTCTCCTTAGTTCTTTTTTTAAAAAAAGTCCTTAACTAACTTGAGCTGGAGTAAATTATGTTAAATTACACAAAGAATAAGAAATTATCCTATATCCTATTGAGTACATCAAGAAAAGCGTAAGAAAACAGTTGATAGAAAATAAGTTTCACTGAAGTTAACAATGGGTAGGGAGGCTATTTTGCATTTCATTTTATTAGTATTTTTTGTAACATATAATATACATGCAGAAAAATACCTAAAACCTAAATGAAAAATTTGCCAAATAATTATAAGCCAAACATCCATGTAAGTGCCTCCTGCTGCCTTTGTTGCAGATATTCCTCCTGTATCCTAGGGAAAGACTTTGGAAAAGAGGAGAATCTTAGGTGCCTTAATACTTGGTTTCCAGTCTTCCTGGTTTTGGGGATTTTTTTTTTGGCAAAAGTTGCCACACAAAACAAAAACAAAAACAGATTCTCTTGTGGTGAAGGAATATGTGAACGTAAATGAACTTGGACTTGACCATGAGTTTTTGAGTTACAGAGACGGGATTTGATTTTAGCTGTGTCTGGTTCCAAAGCCCAGACTCCTTTCAGATCCAACAGTATGGAATGAATATGTATGTGTGTGTCCAAGGGACATGAGGAGTGGTAGTTAGCATCATTCTATGTGGAGAAAAGTGATCTGTACTTGATGGAGGTAGCACATTCATGAAGGTATAACATAACTCTCATGTGTGTGCATGTATAATATAAGGGGCTCTTGTACCTTTTGGGGGTCTGTTTCCTTCAAGAGTTATTTTTGAGACAGAGTTTCACTCTGTCATCCAGGCTGGAGTGCAATGGCGCAATCTCGGCTCACTGCAACCTCCGCCTCCCGGGTTCAAACAATTCTCCTGCCTCAGCCTCCTGAGTAGCTGGGATTACAGGCATGTGCCACCACGCCTGGCTAATTTTGTATTTTTAGTAGACATGGGGTTTCTCCATGTTGGTCAGGCTTGTCTTGAACTCCCGACCTCAGGTATCAGCCCGCCTTGGCCTCCCAGAGTGTTGGGATTACAGGCTCGAGCCACTGCGCCCGGCGTCCTTCAAGAGTTTTTACAGTAACAAGCTAGGCCAGAATACAGTGGAGAGGACTATAGCTTGTTTAGTCATAAATATTCCTAAGCCAGGTGAGTGGTTGAAACTAATTTCTCAGTTTTTATTTTATTCTAGGACAGAAATACATAAACATATGCTAATCTTAGATAAAATGACCATCTATACATAATTCAAATAGAGATAATAATGAAAGTATTATTCAATCAGTATAATAATTGATTCATTTATGTTGTTTGTTCCAGGACTTAGTTTATATTCTTTCAACATTTTTAGGTAACATAAGCCTGGGGGTCTAGCAGGGGGCCTGTTAGATGTGAGCATAAACATTGTAAGTCATCCCTTGGTATCCAAGGGGGATTGGTTCTGGAACCTGACCCTCTCATACCAATATCCTTGTATGCTTATGTATCTTTTTAAAAGGTAGGAGCCGGGCCAGGCGCGTTGGCTCATGCCTGTAATCCCAGCACTTTGGGAGGTCGAGGCAGGTAGATCACGAGGTCAGGAGTTCGAGACCAGTCTGGCCAACATGGTGAAACCCTGTCTGTACTAAAATACAAAAATTAGCTGGGCATGGTGGTGGGCACCTGTAATCTCAGCTACTCAGGAGGCTGAGGCAGGAGAATGGTGTGAACCCAGGAGGCGGAGGTTGCAGTGAGCTGAGATCGCGTCATTGCACTCTGGCCTGGGCGACAGGGCAAGACTCCATCTCAAAAAAATATATAAATAAATAAATAAAAATAAAATAAAATAAAAGGTAGGAACCATATGGTATATTTTGGAGAGGATTCTATTTTATGAGTTAAAATTAAGTTCCAAACCAGAAACTAAGATAGCTGGAAAATGTGACTCTAAGTGACTCATTCCCAAAGAGGTCTCAGTTCTTTTCTATATTATATTTCAGCATGTCATTTGCTTTACCTTGCAACTAAGAATTTTTTATGTTGCTGTTCTAGGCTAATCAACGGCACTTTTCAGTTTATCTAGTCATAAAATGGTCCATTTTGGCTAGGTCTAAATAGATTCGTAGATAGTGCTGAATTATAACTTTTCATGCATGATTTCATTTTTAAAATGTTTTGTTCTGGGATTTGATCCAAATGTAATAACTGAAATACGATTCAGCGTCCAGAGAAGGGTATTATATTTGAAATGTTGCCCTTGAAGGATCATCAGAAAGTTGGCAGGATTTTTTTTTTCGTTCTATGAAACATAGGCAAAGGATTTTATGAACAACTATGATATTTAGGTTTTTGTCCAGGCGTGTTACACCAGTATAATACAGTGGAATGGAGTCTATCAAAATGTCAACATAACTTTGCTGGGCTGATTACATCTATAATAGGAGTAGGTCAGAATCTATTCCTCAGTACAATCTAAAGCATTCTTTTGGATGTCACACTAAATGAAAGCATGCTTCTCTAAAGACTATTCAGGGCATACAACAATTGATCATGGCATCCAGTGCTGAAAACATGTTATGTATAGTGCATGAGATGTAATATTGCACTTTAGCTGTTTGAAGAAGACCTCATGAAGTCGCTAAGAGAAACTGGGTTAAAATACTTTGTCATCAAGTCCTGCTGTGACATTTCAGGCAGCTCTGTGACTCTGGGATTAGGTTGTTTCCACGTTGAAAGAGTGTTCAAAAAAACAGTCTCCACGGTGGCTCATGCCTGTAATCCCAGCACTTTGGGAGGCTGACGCAGTGGATCACCTGAGGTCAAGAGTTCAAGACCAGCCTGGCCAACATGGTGAAACCCTGTCTCTACTAAAAACATAAAAATTAGCCGGACATTGTGGTGTGTGCCTGTAATCCCAGCTACTCAGGAGGTTGAGGTAGGAGAATCTCTTGAACCTGGGAGGTAGAGGTTACAGTGAGCCGAGATTACACCACTGCACTACAGCCTGGATGACAGAGTGAGACTCCATCTCAAAAAAAAAAAAACAAAAAAAAAACAGTCTTTTGGTGACTGATGCATACGTGCGTACGTTGATTTCTTTTCATAAATTTGATACTTTGGAATAAATGTTATTGAATGTACTAAATGTCATTGTCTGTAATTATAATTGTCCATTAAGGATTTCATTTTAGCATAGCATTTAAATAATCTCGTGAGAAGAGATTTTGGTTTTAGCATACATTTTAAGTGTGGGTGACATTTTGATCCAGAAGGTCACAAATATTCATTTCCAGGGAGAACCTCCTGATTTATTAAAATAATAATATATGCCTAATGTAAACCTTGAGTTATCTATCTTCAAAGCTCAAAACTTTGCTTCCATTGTTGACTCATTGCTTTCCACCATTCTGCGTTTCTAGCCAGTTCTTAAATCTTACCAGTTCTTCCCCAAGGGTCCCATATTGATCTGTCTTTTCCATATCTACAGCTTTTATCCTAATCTGAAATCTTTAGTTTGGAAAGGCCCTTTAGAGATAATCTTGTCTAGTTAAATCATTTTACGAAGAATTGAGACTTACAGAAGTTGCCCAAGAACCAGCACAATGATGTGGCGTTTCTGACTCCAAGTCCTGCTGACACTTTCCCTTGCTTTTTGCAAGCTGGTCAGTAAGGCAGAATTCTAGTAACTAATGATAATGCAGCTAACATTTCTATAGTGTATACACCACATCAAGCAGTCTTTGAAGTCTTTAATTATATTAACTAGCTTATTCCTAACAACTATGAGGTAGAGCCAAAGATGGTATAGTAGTGGATATAGTGTGCCTTTTAAAAAACAGCTTTTTTTTCAAGTTTAATTAACCTATAATAAGATCTCATATTTAAGGTGTACAATTTGTGACATTTTGTATATGCATACACCTGTGAAATCATCACAATTAAGATGATTAACAGGGTATAGCATTTCATGTTGTTATTATTTTTTTGAGGCAGGGTCTTGCTCTGTCATCCGTGCTGGAGTGCAGTGATGCGATCTAGACTCACTGCAACTTTGAAATCCTGGGCTCAAGTGATCCTCCTACCTTAGCCTTCTGAATGGGTGGGAGTATAGGCGCTTGCCACCATACATGGCTAATTTTTTTTTTTTTTTTGAGATGGAGTCTCGCTCTGTTGCCCAGGCTGGAGTGTAATGGCGTGATCTTGGCTCACTGCAACCTCTGTCTCCCGGGTTCATGAGATTCTCCTTCCTCAGCCTCCCAAGTAGCTGAGATCACAGGTGCCCACCACCATGCCTGGCTAATTTTTATATTTTTAGTAGAGATGGGGTTTCACCATGTTGGCTAGGCTGGTGTCCAACTCCTGACCTCAAATGATCCATCCTCCTCAGCCCCCCAAAGTGCTTGGATTACAGGCATGAGCCACTGCGTCTGGCCTTTTTTTTTTTGAGACAGAGTTTCACTCTGTCACCCAGGCTGGAGTGCAATGGCGTGACCTCGGCTCAACTCAACCTCTGCCTCCTGCGTTCAAGTGATTCTCCTACCTCAGCCTCTCAAGCAGCTGGGACTATGGGTGCCCGCCACCATGTCTGGCCAATTTTTTTTTGTATTTTTAGCAGAGATGAGGTTTCACCATGTTGGCCAAGCTGGTCTTGAAGTCTGATCTCATGATCTGCTTGCCTTGGCCTCCCAAAGTGCTGGTATTACAGGAGTGAGCCACTGTGCCTGGCCCGCCTGGCTATTTTTTAAATTTTTCTGTAGAGAAATTTAAAATTCAGAAGTCTCATTATATTGCTTAGGCTGGTCTTGAACTCCTGGCATCAAGGGATCTTCTCACCTCGGCCTCCCAAAGTGCGGAATTAAAGGCATAAGCCACCATGCCCAGCCTGACATAGCATTTTAAAATCTAGCTTTTAGTTCCTGATTCCCTGTATGAACTCAAGCAGTTCACTTGACTTCCAAACCAAGGTTCACTTCCTTATAAAATATTCTTTGAATTCTTTCCAGGTATAAAATAATGTGACGTTTTGTAGTCCAGCTTCTCACTCATACCAATGGTGGACTCTTGGAAGTTTGCATCTAAAAAATTATCCCCTTTTTTGTTGGACAGTTTCAGAGATTACTTTGAGAAGGAGCTCATTTCATTGTTAGGATTAATAATTGCTACAAAGTCCTTTTTTTTTTTTTTGAGAGACAGAGTCTCGATCTGTCACCCAGTACTTTTAAAATTAATTACAAAATCTTATATTCTGTCACTTTCATGCAGTATTTCTGCTAACTAGAGCTGTACTATTCAATATGGTAGCCACTAGCCATGTATGGCTACTTAAATTCAAATAAAGTAAAATAGATGAAATTGCAAATTCAGTTCCTCAGTTTCACTAGCCACATTTCAGGTGCTCAGAAGCCACATGTAGCTAACGGCTACCATCTGGACAAGCAGCTGTAGACTGCTCAACAACATCAGGGAAAGTTGCATTGAACAACACTGCTATTGAGTACTGGCTTGAGTTTTCTAAATGCCAATTTCATAATGTCTTTTTTTTTTAATGAGGAAATTTTTAATTAGTCCCAGTTTTATCTTTGGCCTTCTATCTCCTGCTGAGTTTGATATTTAATTTAATAAACTCTTGAGTGCTTGCTGTGTTCCAGACACTGCGCTATGTGCTGTGGATATCAGTGAACTTAGTGAGATAAGGACTAAAATACAGGTAGGACAAACAGGTAATGCAGAGTAAGGAATGAGGGAGAGAATGTGATTGTTCTGAACCGGGAGGTCAGAGAAACCTTCACGAAGTGGCTGATACTTGCACTGAATCTTAAAGAATGGTGGGAATTTTTTAGGTAGAGAACTTGGAAAGGACATGTACTATGTGCAAGAGAGGCACAGAGACTTGGAACATCTTTGTGAATTTGGGAATTCCAGTAGTTTGGAATGCCTGGAGCAGAGTGTGAAGGGTGTGTGTCTCAGCTGATGAGGTTTACAGGTGGGAAGGAGCTAGATCACGAGGATGCTGGATTTTCATCTCCTTGGTGATCACCACGAAAGGGTTTTTAGAATATTTGCTCACTCCGAGGATATTATTTGAGCTGTGATAGGTGCTGGGCCTATACCAGTGGATGAGACACACATGGACCCCTCCTTGGTAAACCTTACAAACTTGATGTGTGAGGTTGTAGCCAAATTCTACCCATCTTTTAAGGCCCCACCCTTCTGATAAGGTTTGTTCAATTATCCAGTCTTTATGGGTTTCCCCCTCTGCTACTTTTGGTCAATGGCACACAATTTATAATCAAACTAACTGCATATTGAATCATTCAATAATGATTGTGTGTCTTCTCTTCTTAGCTACCTAGCTCTTCCTACCCTACCCCATTTTTAGGGAAGAATAGGACTTAAACCTTGCAGTAAGATCTAGCACAATTCTTTTTTTTTTTTTTTTTTGAGACGGAATCTTGCTCTGTTGCCCAGGCTGGAGTACAGTGGCACGATTTCGGCTCACTGCCAGCCCTGCCTCCCAGGTTCATGCCATTCTCCTGCTTCAACCTCCTGAGAAGCTGGGACTACAGGTGCCCACCACCGTGCCCGGCTAATTTTTTGTATTTTCAGTAGAGACGGGGTTTCACTGTGTTAGCCAGGATGGTCTCGATCTCCTGACCTCGTGGTCTGCCCACCTCAGTGAAGTTCACGTTAGGATGCCTATGTGCCTTCTGAGGTGAGACATGTACATCTTGACTTACTCTCTTTGAGTCCAGAGAATCTCTTAAATGGACCGTAGAAAAACACTGTCTTTCTTTTTTTTTTTTTTTTTTGAGACGGAGTCTCTCTCTGTCGCCCAAGCTGGAGTGCAGTGGCATGATCTTGGCTCACTGCAAGCTCCGCCTCCTGGGTTCACGCCATTCTCCTGCCTCAGCCTCCCGAGCAGCTAGGACTACAGGCGCCTGCCACCATGCCTGGCTAATTTTTGTATTTTTAGTAGAGACGGAGTTTCACCGAAACACTTTCTTTTTCAGACCCATTTAAATTTCAGTTCACGTAAAGACAAAGGGGTATCTGTTTCTTAGCTGTAGGTGTTTCTGCCAGATTATAGGTGATACAGTAGATTGGGCTTTTGTAGCATCAGCTCTGCACCTTTATCCTTCCCCTAAAAACTTTTTCATACCCCTTTCCCCTACAAGCTTGGATTCACATCCTGGCATTGCCACTTAATGAGGTGACCAGTCAGTAAGCTGAGCTCAATTTTCTTTTCTTTTTAAAATGTAAATTAAAAAAAAAATTTTTTTTTGAGATGGAGTTTCACTCTTTTTTTGCTCAGGCTGGAGTGCAATGGCACTATCTCAGCTCACTGCAGCCTCCACCTTCGGGGTTCAAGTGATTCTCCAGCCTCAGCCTCCCAAGAAGCTGGCATTACAGGCGCGTGCCAGCACGCCCAGCTAATTTTGTATTTTTGGTAGAGACAGGGTTTCACCATGTTGGCCAGACTGGTCTCGATCTCCTGACCTCAGGTGATCCACCACCTTGGCCTCCCAAAGTGCTGGGATTATAGACATGAGCCACTGCACCCGGCCCTATTTAAAATTTTTTTTTAGAGACTGCTCTGTTGCTTAGGCTGGAGTGCAGTGGTGTAATAATATCTCACTGCAACCTCAACCTCCTGTGCTCAAGAGATCCTCCCACTTCGTCCTCTCCAGTATCTGGGACTACAGGAGCGTATTACCATGCTTGGCTAATTTATTGTGGAGATGTGGTCTTGCTATGTTGCCCAGACTGGTCTTGAATTCCTGGCTTCAAGTGATCATCTCACCTCAGCCTCCCCAAGTGCTGGAATTATAGGTATGAGGCTCTGTGCCCAGCCTGAGCTCAATTTTATAATGAATTAAGTGGAGATAATGTCAGCCTCCAATACATCATTGTGAGAATTAAATAACGCAACATGTAAAATACCCATTCCTAGGCAGAGTTAGATATTCAGTAAAAATAACTTCTCTTTTAGCTTGAATGATGGGAAAACTGTCATCAGCCTTTGTGTTCCATTCATTCATTATGTATTCATTCTGGTAGGCTGTTTTGTGAAATGCTGGCTAACACATATTGGAAACATTTGTGAGAGATAGTTTGTCAGTGATATTATAGAAGGGAATTCTGTTTGGGGGATCAATTGGATAAGGGTGCCTGTTAGACACCCTTGTTACTTGTTACTTGTATGTCAACTAGCCTGTCTTTATATGTAGTTAATTTTGACAGTCATTTTATTTCAGATGCTGTTTTACTAGGTTATTATCCTCCATTCTTTTCATCTTAGATATTTAGTGAAATAAATTAGAATCTGACTGCCAAGCCAATATTCACTTATTCCTTATTTGATGTTCATATTGTATTAGATATATGGATGTATATCTGTTTCCCCTTTTCTTTTATTTTTAGAGACAGGGTCTCAGTCTGTCACCTAGACTGGAATGCAGTGGCATGATCATAACTCACTGCAGCCTTGAACTTTTGGGTTCAAATGATCCTCCCGTCTCAGCCTCCTGAGTACCTGGAATTACAGGCATGCTCCACCATGCCTGACTAATATTTTTATTTTTTTGTTGAGATGAGTCCACTCTATGTTGCTCAGGCTTGTCTTGAACTCCTGGCTTCAAGCAATCTTTCCACCTAGGTCTTCCTAAGCACTTGGATTATAGCGTGAGCCACGATGCCCAGCCCCTCCTTTTCTTTTAAGGGAGAAATTCTACATTCTCTCTGAAGAAAACTTGTAAACTGATATCGTCTTCATCAGATTTTTGGTGTTACCTCTTTTTTTTTTTTTTTTTTTAAGGATCTCATTGAAGTACAACTCTATTTTTTCTTTATCTTACCAATTTAATATTTGGTTCTAACCAGTTTCTTTGATGTGTACATTTTCACGCCATAAAAATATGTTTAACTGTTGCAGATTCATGGTACTTTGTATCAACACCTTATGTTGCCATGTTTTTAATTTTTATTTTATTATACTTTAAGTTCTGGGATACATGTGCAGAACGTGCAGGTTTGTTAAGTAGGTATGCACGTGCCATGGTGGTTTGCTGCATCCATCAACCTATCATCTACATTAGGTATATCTCCTAATGCTATCCTAGTCCTCCACCCCACATGATGTTCTCCTCCCTGTGTCCATGTGTTCTCATTGTTCAGCTCCTACTTATGAGTGACAACATGCAGTGTTTGGTTTTCTGTTCCCGTGTTAGTTTGCTGAGAATGATGGTTTTCAGCTTCATCCATGTCCCTGCAAAGGACATGAACTCATCCTTTTTTATAGCCGTATGGTATTCCATGGTGTATATGTGCCACATTTTCTTTATCCAGTCTATCATTGATGGGCATTTGGGTTGACTCCAAGTCTTTGCTATTGTGAACAGTGCTGCAGTAAACATATGTGTGCATGTGTTTTTATAGCAGAATGATTTATAATCCTTTGGGTGTATACCCAGTAATGGGATTGCTGGGTCAAATGGTAATTCTGGTTCTAGATCCTTGAAGAATCGCCACACTGTGTTCCACAATGGTTGAACTAATTTACATTCCCACCGACAGAGTAAAAGTGTTCCTACTTCTCCACATCTTCTCCAGCATCTGTTGTTTCCTGACTTTTTAATGATCGCCATTCTAACTGGCATGAGATGGTATCTCATTGTGGTTTGGATTTGCATTTCTCTAATGACCAGTGATGATGAGCTTTTTTTCATATGTTTATTGGCTTCATAAATGTCTTTTGTTGAGAAATGTCTGCTCATATCTTTCAACCCAAATGCCCATCAATGATAGACTGGATAAAGAAAATGTGGCACATATACACCATGGAATACCATGCGGCTATAAAAAAGGATGAGTTCATGTCCTTTGCAGGGACATGGATGAAGCTGGAAACCATCATTCTCAGCAAACTAACACAGGAACAGAAAACCGAACACTGCATGTTCTCACTCATAAGTGGGAGTTGAACAATGAGAACACATGGACACAGGGAGGGGAACATCATGGGGGGTGGGGGACTAGGGGACACTTTTTGATGGAGTTGTGTTTTTCTTGTAAATTTGTTTAAGTTCTTTGTAGATTCTGGATATTAGCCCTTTGTTAGATGGGTAGATTGCAAAACTTTTCTCCCATTCTGTAGGTTGCCTGTTCACTCTGATGATAGTTTCTTTTGCTATACAGAAGCTCTTTAGTTTAATTAGATCTCATTTGTCAATTTTGGCTTTCGTTGCCATTGCTTTTGGTGTTTTAGACATGAAGTCTTTGCCCATGCCTATGTCCTGAATGGTATTGCCTAGGTTTTCTTCTAGGATTTTTATGGTTTTAGGTCTTACGTTTAAGTCTTTAATCCATCTTGAGTTAATTTTTGTATAAGGTGTAAGGAAGGGGTCCAGTTTCAGTTTTCTGCATATGGCTAGCCAGTTTTCCCAACACCATTTATTAAATAGGGAATCCTTTCCCTGTTGCTTGTTTTTGTCATGTTTGTCAAAGATCAAATGATTGTAGATGTTTGGCGTTATTTCTGAGGCCTCTACTCTGTTTCATTGGTCTATATATCTGTTTTGATACCAGTACAATGCTGTTTTGGTTACTGTAGCCTTGCAGTATAGTTTGAAGTCAGGTAGTGTGATGCCTCCAGCTTTGTTCTTTTTGCTTAGGATTGTCTTGGCTATACGGGCTCTTTTTGGTTCCATATGAAGTTTAAAGTAGTTTTTGTCTAATTCTGTGAAGAAAGTCAATGGTAGCTTGATGGGGATAGCATTGAATCTATAAATTACTTTGGGCAATATGGCCATTTTCACCATATTGATTCTTCCTATCCATGAGCATGGAATGTTTTTCCATTTGTTTGTGCCCTCTCTTATTTCCTTGAGCAGTGGTTTGTAGTTCTCCTTGAAGAGGTCCTTTACATCCCTTGTAGGTTGTGTTCCTAGGTATTTTATTCTCTTTGTAGCAATTTTGAATGGGAGTTCACTCATGATTTGGCTCTCCATTTGTCTGTTATTGGTGTATAGGAATATGTGATTTTTGTAGATTGATTTTGTATCCTGAGACTTTGCTGAAGTTGCTTATCAGCTTAAGGAGATTTTGGGCTGAGACGATGGGGTTTTCTAAATATACGATAATGTCATGTGCAAACAGAGACAATTTGACTTCCTCTCTTCCTATTTGAATACCCTTTATTTCTTTCTCTTGACTGATTGCCCTGGCCAGTACTTCCAACACTATGTTGAATAGGAATGGTGAGGGAGGGCATCCTTGTCTTGTGCCAGTGTTCAGAGGAAATGCTTCCAGCTTTTGCCCATTCAGTATGATATTGGCTGTGGGTTTGTCATAAATATCTCTTACTATTTTGAGATCCGTTCCATCAATACCTAGTTTATTGAGAGTTTTTAGCATGAAGGGCTGTTTAAGTTTACTGAAGGCCTTTTCTGCATCTATTGAGATAATCTTATGGTTTTTGTCACGGTTCTGTTTATGTGATGGATTATGTTTATTAATTTGCATATGTTGAACCAGCCTTGCATCCTGGGGATGAAGCCAACTTCATTGTGGTGGATAAGCTTTTTGATGTGCTGCTGGATTCAGTTTGCCAGTATTTTATTGAGGATTTTTGCATCAATGTTCATCAGGGATATTGGCCTGAAATTTTCTTTTTTTTGTTGTGTCTCTGCCAGGTTTTGGTATCAGGATGATGCTGGCCTCATAAAATGAGTTAGGGAGGAGTCCCTCTTTTTCTATTGATTGGAATAGTTTCAGAAGGAATGGTACCAGCTCCTCTTTGTACCTCTGGTAGAATTCGGCTGTGAATCTGTCTGGTCCTGGGCTTTTTTTGGTTGGTAGGCTATAAATTACTGCCTCAATTTCAGAACTTGCTATTGGTCTATTCAGGGATTTGACTTCTTCCTGGTTTAGTCTTGGGAGGGTGTATGCATCCAGGAATGTATCCATTTCTTCTAGATTTTCTAGTTTATTTGCATAGAGGTTTTTATAGTATTCTCTGATGGTAGTTTGTATTTCTGTGGGATCAGTGGTGATATCCCCTTTATCATTTTTTAGTGCACCTATTTGATTCTTCTCTCTTTTCTTCTTTATTAGTCTGGCTAGCGGTCTATCTACTTTGTTAACCTTTTCAAAAAACCAGCTCTTGGATTCATTTGTTTATTTTTTTTTGGAAGGGTTTTTTGTGTCTCTATCTCCTTCAGTTCTGCTGTGATTTTAGATATTTCTTGCCTTCTGCTAGCCTTTGAATTTGTTTGCTCTTGCTTCTCTAGTTCTTTCAATTGTGATGTTAGGGTGTCGATTTTAGACCTTTCCTGCTTTCTCCTATGAGCATTTAGTGTTATAAATTTCTCTCTGAACACTGCTTTAGCTGTGTCCAGAGATTCTTTGTTTACACTGTGTGGGGAAAACCACCTACTGAAGCCTCACTAATGGTGGACGCCCCTGTCCCCACCAAGCTCGAGTGTCCCAGGTTGACCAGACTGCTGTGCTGGCAGTGAGAATTTCAAGCCAGTGGATCATAGCTTGCTGGGCTTCATGGGGGTGGGATCAGCTGAGCTAGACCACTTGGTTCCCTGGCTTCAGGCCCCTTTCCAGGGGAGTGAATGGTTCTATCTTGCTGGTATTCCAGGAGCCATTGGGGTATGAAAAAACTTCTGCAGCTAGCTTTGTGTCTGCCCAAACGGCTGCCCAGTTTTGTGCTTGAAACCCAGGGCCCTGGTGGTGTAGGCACCCGAGGGAATCTCCTGGCCTGCAGGTTGAGAAGACGGGAAAAGCTTAGTATCTGGGTCAGAATGCACCATTTCTCATGGCACAGTCCCTCAGGACTTCCCTTGGCTAGGAGAGAGAGTTCCACGACCCCTTGTGCTTCCCGGGTGATCGCCTCGCCCTGCTTTGGCCCGCCCTCCATGGGCTGCACCCACTGTCTAACCAGTCCCAGTGAGATGAGCCTGGTACCTCAGTTGGAAATGCAGAAATCACCTGCCTTCTGCCTTGATTTCGCTGGGAGCTGGAGACGGGAGCTGTTCCTATTGGCCATCTTGACAGCCACCCCCTATTTATGTATGTATGTATGTATGTATGTATGTATGTATGTATGTATGTATTTATTTATTTATTTATTTGGAGACGGGTTCTTGCTCTGTCGCTCAGGCTGGAGTGCAGTGGTGCGATCTCAGCTCACTACAATCTCTGCCTCTTGGGTTGAAGCGATTCTCCTGCCTCAGCCTCCTGAGTAGCTGGGACTACAGGCGCATGCCACTATGCCCGGCTAATTTTTGTATCTTTAGTAGAGATGGGGTTTCACCATGTTGGTCAGGCTGGTCTCGAACTCCTGACCTTGTGATCCGCCCACCTCGGCCTCGCAAGGTACAGGGATTACAGGCGTGAGCCACTGCGCCCGTCCCCCCACTATTTTTTTTTTTTGGCATTGTTAAGACAAACCCGCTGAGAAAGAGCAAGGTTATGAATCATATCTCCCAGGATTGTGTGGAATAAAGGAGATAGTGTACATAATGTCCTTAGCTCATGTCTGGAGCATATAAGTGCTCAGATAATGCTGGCTGGTAACTATTAGTGTTACTGTATTCCTCAGGTCTTATGTTTAAAATTATTTAACAACAGAGACTATGTACTATATACTTTATGTATTATAGACTCTATTTTACACATTAATATATTTTTCTTCTCATCATAACTTTTAATGTTTTATCTTTTGTCTTGCAGTGATGAAACTACAGAATCTGTTTGTAGATGATTCAGGTCGATATTTGGCTATTCAATTCCATCTGGAATGTGCATATGTGTTTTTATATTATTATGAGTACAGAAAAGCAAAAGATCAGTTGGATATTGCTAAGGACATCAGCCAATTACAAATTGATTTGACAGGTAAGACTTATTTTTTGTGGATAATTGATTTTATTTTTATGATAAAACTATATACATTGGCAGTTTGTATTGTATGTTGGTATTAGATTTTCTATATCCTATTTGCTTTACAAAAGTAGACTTTAAAGGTTTTATTTACAAATTTATAGTTTATAACAAATTTGAAATGATATATTTTCCTTATTTCTAGAGTTTTCCATTTATTGCGCTGATCTGTTTAGCCGTGTTAGTAATAGATAGCAGCCAGGCAGTACACAAACACACTTTTGAGCCTTTGGGGGATGGGCCCATAGGGGTGTTTCCTGACCAAGTTTGGCCTCTCTGCATTGCCCTTTCTTGTAAATACCCACCTATTCTTTCCATCTTGCTTTTTTTTTTTTTTTGAGACCGAGTCTCGCTCTGTCGCCCAGGCTGGAGTGCAGTGGCGTGATCTTGGCTCACTGCAACCTTGGCCTCCTGGGTTCAAGCAATTCTCCTGCCTGAGCCTCCCTAGTAGCTAGGATTACGGGTGCCCACCACCACGCCTGGCTAATTTTTTTTATTTTTTTTTTGTATTTTTAGTAGGGATGTGGTTTCACCATGTTGGCCAGGCTGGTTTTGAATTCCTGACCTCAAGTGATCCGCCCGCCTTGGCCTCCCGAAGTGCTGGGACTACAGGTGTGAGCCACCACGCCCAGCCCACATTCTGTGCTTCTTAGAGAGCTAGTTCTATCAGTAAAATCCTTCCAATATATTATGAATAAATATGATTTTGTGGGCTTGTCTTGGATCTTAGCTACCTTTTGTTACATTGTGTGTGTGGGCAAAATTGTTTAATATCCAGCTTATAACTTGGAACACTGGCCAAGTATAAGTTGGAACAATGGCCATGTGTAAGTTGTCTGTATATGAAAATGTATGTAATGTATCTTGTGAGGTTAGTTTCAGAAGTTATGTTTTTAAATATTTTGATTCTAGGAGGCTTTTTTGGGACTATTGATGCCATAATACTTAATTGTTGGTATATTTACTAGCTAGTTCTTCATATTTTGTTTTCTAAGTTAGAGTTGAAGAACTTAGAAATACAAATGTGATGTTCACAAATATGAGAATCAGGTTATTCTTTTTTTCCACTCATCTATAGCCTTCCTATAAAAAATAAACTGTGACAGGTGCTGTGACTCATGCCTGTAATCCCAGCACTTTGGGAGGCTGAGGCGGGCAGATCATGAGGTCAGGAGATCGAGACCATCCTGGCCAACATGGCAAAACCCGCCTCACTAAAAATACAAAAATTAGCTGGGTGTGGTGGTGCATGCCTGTAATCCCAGCTACTCTGGAGGCTGAGGCAGGAGATTTGCTTGAACCAGGGAGTCGGAGGTTGCAGTGAGCTGAGATCGCACCACTGCACTATAGCCTGGCAACAGAGCAGGACTCCATCTCATAAAAAATAAAATAAAATAAAATAAAAAAGTAAGCTGTATCAAACAATTTCAGTGGCTATCTTCAGCATAACATATTTAAAAGGTTAATGTATGACTTAGAGCCAGACTCATAACAGGATAAAATCCAGACTTTCTAGACTGGTCTTTGTAATCAAGGATCTTTGTAATCTGACCTTGTCCAGAGAGTGGATGTTGGAACTTTTGCTTTTCTTAAAGTGGTTTGAAAACAGCTATTCTGCAGTAAGTTATTTCAGAGACATAATGAAAAAATTTTGGTCTTACATGAAGTCAGATAGTGTAATAAACTGTTGATATAGAACCAAAAGATCCTGGCTTTAAGCTCTGGTTCTGATGCTGAGAAGCCCTGTGATCATGAACAAATGACTGTATTCTTTAGAACTTTTGTTTCTGTCATCTGTGAAAAAGAGATAATAATAGTTCTTCTACCTACAACACTCAATGTGTTACTTTTTTTTTTTTTTTTTAAAGGGTGGTAGTTTGATGCAAAAATTAGTATGTGGACTGTAGTGGCAGAAATCCTGGGTTTGAGTCCTGGTACCAGAGCTTGTTGGCTTTCTAATTTTATAAGTCATTTAAAACCTGAGGCTGGGCCTCAGGACTTTCTTATGTGAAATGGAGAAAATACCTTGTAAACTCTAAAGCACTCTGAAAATATTACTCTTCATGACTGTACAGTAGATCTCATGGGTAAGTCAGTAGATATAATTTTATTGTTTTTTCAGGTGCTTTGGGAAAAAGAACACGGTTCCAGGAAAATTATGTGGCACAACTGATTCTAGATGTAAGAAGGGAAGGGGATGTCCTTTCAAATTGTGAATTCACTCCAGCACCCACTCCTCAGGAACATTTAACCAAGGCAAGTAGGACATTAAGTTATTAAATTCAATTAACACCTGAGTCTAAGAATTTCAATAGCTGAGTACCATAGAAACACTGAATGGGTTGGGGACAGACTTCATTTTATTCTTTCTTTTGCCTTTTAAAGGTTGCTGAGTCAGGGAGAACTGGTGTTTAACTGGTGTTTTTTTTTCCTAACCTGTGATAGAAAAAACTGGTGTTTTTTTTTTCCTAACCTGTATATAGAGATAAATACTGTTTTTCTTCTAGGATTCAATAACTATGAATTAATGATGCAGTTAGTTATGTATTACCCCTCTTGAAGAAATACGAAAGGCAGACTGGGTGTAGACCAGTTTCTCTATCTGCTATCATATTTGTTTCCTTATGTTTGTCTTCTCTTGGAATCTCTTAGGCTTTTTCTAAATATATAAACATTATCAGAATTCCTTTTCACTAGTTTTGTGATCGGCCTTTTGTTTCTCTGTCATTATTGGGGGGGTGGTTGCCTTAGTATGTTTATTTGACATGTCTAGTGAATTCTCTTCTTTAGTTTGAATTATGACTCTTGGTCAGTTTACCTAATTATAGTCCACTCCAGCTGCTTCCATGAAGCCGTTTAGTATTTATGCATGTGTTTTCTGATCCCAGAAACCCCCAACTACTTTTTTTTTTTTTTTTTTTTGAGATGGAGTCTCACTCTATTGCCCAGGCTGGAGTGTAGTGGCGTAATCTCGGCTCAATGCATCCTCCGCCTCCTGGGTTTAAGCGATTCTCCTGCCTCAGCCTCCCGAGTAGCTGGGATTACAGGCATGCACCACCACGCCCGGCTAATTTTGTATTTTTGGTAGAGACAGGGTTTCTCCATGTTGGTCAGGCTGGTCTCGAACTCGCAACCTCAGGTGATCCACCCGTCTCGGCCTCCCAAAGTGCTGGGATTACAGGCGTGAGCCACCACACCTGGCTGTGTTTGTTGTTTTTTAATGTGGAGTTGTTCTATAGAAAAGTATCTCCCAGTGATTGACCTGGCATGGTGGCTCATGCCTGTAATCCCAGCACTTTGGGAGGCTGAAGTGGGTGGATCACTTGAGGTCAGGAGTTCGAGCCCAGTCTGACCAAAATGGTGAAACCCTGTCTCTATTAAAAATACAAAATTAGGCCAGGTGCAGTGGCTCACGCCTGTAATCCCAGCACTTTGGGAGGCCAAGGTGGGTGCACGAGGTCAGGAGATTGAGACCATCCTGGCTAACATGGTGAAACCCCGTCTCTATTAAAAATACAAAAAAAAAAAATTAACCGGGCGTGGTGGCGGGTGCCTGTAGTCCCAGCTACTCAGGAGGCTGAGGCAGGAGAATGGCGTGAATCTGGGAGACGGAGCTTGCAGTGAGCCGAGATCATGCCACTGCACTCCAGCCTGGGTGACAGAGCAAGACTCCGTCTCAAAAAAAAGAAAATAAACAAAAAAACAAAATTAGCCAGTTGTGGTGGTGTGTGCCTGTAATCCCAGCTACTTGGGAGGTTGAGGCAGGAGAATTGCTTGAACCCAGGAGGTGGAGGCTACAATGAGCAATGAGTGCAATTGCATCATTGAACTCCAGCCTGGGCAACAAGAGCAAAACTCCCTTTGAAAAAAAAAAAAAAGAAAAGAAAATTATCTCCTGGTGATAAATAGGATATGATGAGTATTATGAGAAATGTATGAAAATGATGTACCATTTAATACAGAATTTTAATCGTTTTTTTGCTTGTTCTTTCTTTTCTTTTCTCCTTTTCTTCTTTCTTCCCTTCCTCCCTCCCTCCCTCCCTCCCTCCCTTCCTTCCTTCCTTCCTTCCTTCCTTCCTTCCATTTTTAAATGGAGATGAGTTCTCACTATATTGCCCAGGTTTGTTTCAAACTCCTGGGCTCAAGCAATCTTCTTGCCTCAACCTCCCAAAGTGCTGGGATTCACCATGTAATACATGTTACAGGGTTAATGTGGTTAACATTTTTAATATATTACATGTGGCTATCAGAAATTTTTTCAGAATTATTTTATTTTAAAAATTTTGGCTGGGCGTGGTGGCTCACGCCTGTAATCCCAGCACTTTGGGAGGCCGAGGTGGACGGATCATGAGGTCAGGAGATGGAGACCATCCTGGCTAACACAGTGAAACCCCGTCTCTACTAAAAATACAAAGAATTAGCTGGGAGTGGTGGCAGGCGCCTGTAGTCCCAGCTACTCCGGAGTCTGTGGCAGGAGAATGGCGTGAACCCGGGAGGCGGAGCTTGCAGTGAGCTGAGATCGTGCCACTGCACTCCAGGCTGGGCGACAGAGTGAGACTCCATCTCAAAAAAAAAAATAAATCAATAAATAAAAAATAAATTTTACCTGTTTATCTATTTAGAGACCAGGTTATGAGACTGGCTAATTTTTGTATTTTTGGTAGAGATGGGGTTTCACCGTGTTGCCCAGGCTGGTCTCGAACTTCTGGGCTCAAGCCATCCACTTTCCTCAGCCTCCCAAAACTGTTGGGATTATAGGCATGAGCCACTGCACCGGCCAGAATTTAATCTTTTGTATGTGAAATAAAATACATTCAGATAATCTTATGGTCTTTGTTAATTACTACTTGAAGATGGAGAGTACAAGTTGTATGCTGTAGGTATGGATTAGATAGAAACATAGCTTTATTCTAATGGGTGGAAGAGAATTGTTAAGTTGGTTATATATCATATTACCTTGTGTTAAACACATTATTAGATTGTAATATACACCATCTGTTTAATAACCATTTTTCAGGAAAAGGAAAGGAACACTACTATACCATTTATAGTGATTACAAAACATATCCTGATTGGAAATGTTACAACATGGCCCGGTGTGGTGGCTCACGCCTGTAGTCCCAGCACTTTGGGAGGCCGAGGTGGGAGGATCACTTGAGGTCAGGAGTTCGAGACCAACCTGGCCAACATGCCGAAACCCCATCTCTGCTAAAAATAGAAAAGATTATCCGGGCGTGGTGGTGTGTGCCTGTAATTCCAGCTACTTGGGAGGCTGAGGCAGGAGAATCGCCTGAACCCAGGAGGTGGAGGTTGCAGTGAGCCGAGATCATGCTACTGCACTCCAGCCTAGGTGACTAAGTGAGACTTTCTCAAAAAAAAAAAAAAAAAAGAAAAGAAAGAAATGTTACAATGTGAAAATATGTATTTTAATTTTTTTATTTTTTATTTTTTTTGAGATGGTGTCTCATTCTGTAGCCTGCCTTAGCCTCCGAGTAGCTGAGACTACAGCCACATGCCACCACGCCCGGATAGTTGTTGTATTTTTAGTAGAGACGAGGCTTCACCATGCTGGCCAGGCTGGTCTCGAACTTCTGACGTCGGGTGATCCGCCCGCCTCAGCCTCTCAAAGTGCTGGGATTACAGGCATGAGCCACCGCACCTGGCTTCTGTCTAGCTTCATTTGGCTCCTAAAGTCCTCTTTTTTTGTTGTTGTTGAATTAGAAAAAAATTTAACCCAAGATTATTGAGGAATAATTTATATAAAATATACCGATTTTAAATTACACTTTGTTGAGATTTAACAATTAGACGCGTGTCACCACCACCACAATGAAAAAAAGTTTCTCCAAAGAGTGCCGCCATAGTTCTTTGCAGTCAGTCAGTTGCTGTCATAGATTAGATCTGTCTTTTCTAGAATTTCCAATAAATGGAATCATACAGTGTATAATCTTTTGGTCTGGCTTAATGGTTTCAAGATTCATCCATGTTGAAATACCAATATGAACTGTTGGTGGACATTTAAGTTATTTCTAGCAGGTATTACTAATAAACCTGCCTAGAAAATATGTATGTAAGTCTTTGTGTGAACGTAAGTTTTTTTTTTTCTCTTCTTTTTTTATTTTTGAAATGGAATCTCGCTCTATTGCCCAGGCTGGAGTGCAGTGGCATGATCTCAGCTTACTGCAACCTCCACCTCCCGGGTTCAAGTGATTCTCCTGCCTCAGCCTCCCGAGTAGCTGGGAGTACAGGTATACGCCACCATGCCTGGCTAATTTTTGTATTTTTGGTAGAGACGGGGTTTTTGCCATGTTTGCCAGGCTGGTCTCGAACTCCTGACCTCAAGTGATCCACCCACCTTGGCCTCCTAAAGTGCTGGTATTACAGGCGTGAGCCACCATGCCTGGCCTCTCTTGCCCATTTTTAATTTGAGTTGTTTGTCTTCTTATTGAGTTCTAAGAGTTCTCCATATTCTGGATGCAAGTCCCTTTTCAGATATATGTTTTGTCAGTATATTTGGATCTGGAGCTTGACTTTTTGTCTTAACAATGTTTTCAGAGAACAGAAGTTTTTAATTTGATGAAGTCTAATTTATGAAGTTTTTCTCTTATAATTCATACTTTTTGTATCCTAATTAAGGACTGACTGCCTTTCCATCTCAGGGTTACAAAGTTTTTTTTAATGTTTTCTTCTAGAAGTTTTTTTAGCTTTAGCTTGTATATTAAGGTCTGTGATTAATTTTGATTTAATTTTTGTGTATGATTGAGATAAACGTGAAGGGTCATTTTTTTTTCCAAATGGATATCCAGTTGTTCTGACATCATTCATTCACTTACTTATTTTTTGGAGAGACAGGGTCTTGCTGTGTTACTCAGGCTGATCTCAAACTCCTGGCCTCAAGCTTCCTCCCACCTTGGCCTCCCAAAGTTCTCTAATTTCATTTATTGAAAGGCTTTACCTGTTGAAACACCTAGGTAGCTATATTGAAAATCAATCCATCATATATGCATGGGTCTAAAATTTTGAACTGTATTCTATTCCATTCACTTTATATGTCTGTCTTTATGCCAGTACTATACTGTCTGGGCTTTATAGTAATTCTTGAAATCAAGTACTTCCTCATATTTTATTCTTTTAAAAATTGTTTTGGTTATTGTCGATCATTTGCATTTCCATATAAATTTTAGAATGAGCTTGTCACAGTTTGGCATTTCCATCATTGATAACAAGCTATTTGTGAGAAATTTCTCAACTGATCACACTATATTGCTGAGACACAGAGTTGGGAAGTTGATGTTTTTGATTAGAATTTAGAGGCAGAATAGAAAGATCCAGTTTTGAATCCTGATGCTATCACATACTTTGAGTGTGATCTTGGATGAGCTTCAAGTATCTGATTCTTTGTTTTTTCATCAGTAAATAAGGATAGAAATGCCTATTGTCTATGATTGTTGTGAGGAAGAATTTGAAAAATGTATATAAAATTATCTGCAGAGGGGCTTTTGCATACTTGGCTCAATCAGTGATAGCTGTTATTCCCTATTATTGTCATTGTTAGTGCATTCTTGAGGTATAGATGGCACATCTTTCATTTCTGGAAGGTAAATTGTTTCCAAATATGTGTTTCACAAGAAATAGCCTATTGACCATATGTCAAACAGGTAAGTTAACTTTATCCTTTCTAGCAATCTATTACATGCCATTCTGGTGAATGAATAAAATTTAATTTTTGGTCTAAGTATTTTCTTTTGTATTCTACTAGAATCTTGAGCTCAATGATGACACCATTCTGAATGACATAAAGTTAGCAGATTGTGAACAGTTCCAGATGCCGGATCTGTGTGCTGAAGAGATCGCTATTATTCTTGGAATCTGGTGAGTTAATGACTGACTTGGCTGCTTTGAACACTTTGCATATTGATTCTCTTATGTGTGGAGAATCTTTATTCAAGGAGGTTCCAAGAGTTCTGGATGAATAGGGAATTTTGTAGTGCTTATGAAGATCAGAGGAAATACTTGGAGAACCAATTAAAGGGTTAGATATTACAAATCTCCAATGAGTTGATATATCTATTCTTCTGTTTCCTTTATAAGCACAATTTCTTTGGTTAGCTTTAGCTAGGAATAGATTATTAATAAAATATTAAAGACAAATGAGAATGACTATTTTGAGATTTGAGGATATTTACATTTCAAAGGATAGGATTATTTTTTAATACTGTGGAACCTTATCTATGGTGGAAATAGTTTTAACTTTTTTTTCTGATTAGAAATAATTTCAAATTTGTGAAAAATGTTTAAGGGCAGGACAATACATATAACTTCTAAGAATAAGTTTCCAAGATGATGCTGTATCATTCCTGAATAATTTAGTGTATATTTCCAACAAATAATGTTATTTTTGTACATAGTCACAATACAGCTATCAAAATCAGAAAATTAATGTTGGTACTTTGCTATCATTTAATTCTCAGACCCCATTCAAATTTTGCTAGTTGTTCAGATACTCTCTTTTAGAAAAGATCCAGTCTAGAATATATGTATTACATTTAGTTTTCTTGTCTCTTTAGTCTTTGTCAGTCTGGAATAGTTCCTCATTTTTGCTTGACTTGCATGATCTTGACACTTGAAATTTACAAGTCCATTACTTTTAGACTTTCCTTCAATTTGAGTTTGTCTGATTTTTTTTTTTTAATAGTTGGATTCACCTTATGCATTTTTTTTTTTTTCCTAAGATGGAGTTTTGCTATTGTTGCCTAGGCTGGAGTGCAATGGCACAATCTTGGCTCATTGCAACCTCCGCCCCACGGGCTCAAGCGATTCTCTTGCCTCAGCCTCCTGAGTAGCTGGGATTACAGGCGCACACCACCATGCCCGGCTAATTTTTTTGTATTTTTAGTAGAGATGGGGTTTCGCCGTGCTTTCCAGGCTGGTCTCGAACTCCTGACCTCAGCTGATCCGCCCGCCTCGGCCTCCCAGAGTGCTGGGATTACAGGCATGAGCCACCACACCCGGCCACCTTATGCGTTTTTAGCTGGGATGTCAGAGAAATGAAGTTTTGTTATTCTCATTGCATCCTAGCAGGTAGAATATGATTTGGGTTTGCCCCACTACTGGTGATGTTAACTTCAATCACATGATTAAAGTGGTGTTTGCTAGGCTTCTCCAAAGTTATTCATTTATTTTGTAATTAACATTTTATTGACCAGGTGCGGTGTCTTATGCCTGTAATGCCAGCACTTTGGGAAGCCGAAGCGGATGGATCACCCAAGGTCAGGAGTTTGAGACCAGGCTGGCCAACATGGTGAAATCCTGTCTCTACTAAAAATACAAAAATTAGCTGGGTGTGGTGGCAGGCGCCTGTAATCCCAGCTACTTGGAAGCCTGAGACAGAATCGCTTGAACCGAGAGATTGCAGTGAGCTGAGATCACGCCACTGCACTCCACCTGGGTGACAGAGTGAAACTCTGTCTCAAAAAAATACAAATTCTTTGAAAGGTAATTTTAGACTAAATGAATATCCCATTTGTCATCAAGAGATTTATTAATATTCAAAATAGAATCCCTCACAAAGCTATAATATTGATACCAGTTAAATTAGTAATGGACAACTTAAGAAAGGGAACATTTGAAAAAATCTTGTTCTTTTTTTTTTTTTTGAGACAGAGTCTTGCACTGTCGCCCAGGCTGGAGTGCAGTGGCGCGATCTCGGCTCACTGCAACCTCCGCCTCCCAGGTTCAAGCAATTCTCCTGCTTCAGCCTCCCAAGTAGCTAGGATTACAGGCATGTGCCACCACACCTGGCTAATTTTTGTATTTTTAGTAGAGACGGGGTTTTGCCATGTTGACCAGGCTGGTCTTGAACTCCTGACCTCAGGTGATCCGCCCGCCTCAGCCTCCCAAAGTGCTGGGATTATGAGGGTGAGCCACCGTGCCCAGTCAAAATCTTATTCTTTTAATTCAGTAGAACTCACCCTTTGGTGTTCACCTTATAGCATTTTACTTCATATATGCAATAGTAAGTTTTCTTTTATATAAAAGTTGAATTCAGTTCTACAGTTCCTTTTTATTTTAAAATGGATCACACATACAGAGTTCTGTTTCTAAAGCCAAAGCAATTTTCCTGTAACATTATTTATTCCAGTGACAGAATTTTTTTTTTTTTTTGAGACAGAGTCTCGCTGTGTCACCCCAGGCTGGAGTGCAGTGGCGCGATCTCGGCTCACTGCAAGCTCCACCTTCTGGGTTCATGCCATTCTTCTGCGTCAGCCTCCTGAGTAGCTGGGACTACAGGCGCCCACCACCACAGCTGGCTAATTTTGTTTTATGTATTTGGTAGATATGGGGTTTCACTGTGTTAGCCAGGATGGTCTTGATCTCCTGACCTCGTAATCCGCCCACCTCGGCCTCCCAAAGTGCTGGGATTACAGGCGTGAGCCACCGCACTTGGCCCTCCAGTGACAGAATTTATGTTTACTGCATAAAAAATACTTGTTCAATCCATAACAACATTTAGTATGTTAATAATATGAATAGCAACCATTTATCAACAATAGTATGTGGTAGGCATTATACCATGTACTTTCACATTAACCCTCATTAATAGTCTAACAACACCAAGCGTTGTTATTTTTCTCAATTCTTCAGGTGGGAAAACAAGGCTCAAATAGCTAAATGACTTCTTCAGAATTACAGAGTGGCAATTAGGATGTGAATCTAAGTTTTACTGACCCCAAATTCTGAGTTCTTCTTTATGTTACTTAAGAAAATGTTATTTTGGCAAGTTCATAATTGTCATCTCATCAGGAAATTAAACTATGCCAAATAAATGTATTCCCAGGCATTATGTCAGCTGAACTATAGCTATATTGAGGTAAACTTTACATTTAAGAGAGGACTAAAAATCCAGAAAATGCTCATCTTTTCTGGATACTTGTTTTTCCCAAAGGAAGATCTCAGTGGAATTTCAATATATAGAGCAGATAAAAGCACAGAATTGATTTCACCGGCAGTTTAACTCTTCATTGTTTGGTAGAAACCACTTGCTTATTTTCTGAATCTTAGTGCATCTGATGCAGTTTATAAACCTGTGGTTAGAATAGTAATGAATTTATGATTTGCATGTACTAAGTTACTGTGGGGTTTTTAAATAGTGATTTTCTTATATTGGCTGATCTCTGTCTGATCCCTGTGGTCGCTAACCCCCATGAAGAGGTGACTTAGACATTGTGTTAGGCTGGGTTGGTTTGGAAAGGAGACTTAGAGAAGGTGAATTCTTTTTTTTTTGTTTTGTTTTTTTGAGACGGAGTTTCACTCTTGTTGGCCAGGCTAGAGTACAATGGTGCAATCTTGACTCACTGCAACCTCCGACTCCCAGGTTCAAGCGATTTTCTTGCCTCAGCCTCCTGAGTAGCTGGGATTACAGGCGCCCACCACCATGCTCATCTAATTTTTGTATTTTTAGTAGAGACAGGGTTTCACCATGTTGGCCAAGCTGGTCTCGAACTCCTGATCTCAGGTGATCTACCCGCCTCAGCCTCCCAAAGTGCTGGGATTACAGCTGTGAGCCACTGTGCCTAGCCTGAGAAGGTGAATTCTTATACATTGTAGATTGGTACAACAGTGGGGATAGCTTCAGGCTCCTTCCCTAGACTCTTGCTGTTCACTGGCCTCCTGCTTGAGTTGGATTTTTACCTGACGACCAAATGCTGGAACTTGCCCCACCTCTCTTATACCTCATTCTACCTGAGGTATGAATGCTTGTATGCATTCATGTGTGTTTGTCTTGTAGGTGTTTTTAATAAAATCATTTCATAGTTCTTTCCTCTTCCCTTCATTGATTTTTTTTCTTTTCCAACAATAAAAATCGGTTCATTTAAAAATTATTATATAAACAATTTATGGTCATTATAAAATCCTTAAACAGTATTGAAAATTATAGGGATATGTTATATTTTATAAGACAGTGTTTTCTTTTCATTCTGTTTTTTTTTTTTTTTGGAGATGGATTCTTGCTCTGTTGCCCAGGCTGGAGTGCAGTGGCACGATCTTGGCTCACTGCAACCTCTGCGTCCTGGGTTCAAGCAGTTCTCTGCCTCAGTCTCCTGAGTAGCTGGGATTATAGGCACTTGGCACCATGCCCAGCTAATTTTTGTAGTTTTAGTAGAGACGGGGTTTCACCATCTTGGCCAGGCTGGTCTTGAACTCCTAACCTCGTGATCCACCTGCCTTGGCCTCCATAAGTGCTGGCATTATACGCATTAGCCACTGCGCCTAGCCTCTTTTCATTCTTAATATATGAAATATTTATATACATTTATATGCCCTTTAAAATTTGTTAAATTAATATATGGAATATTTGGAATTACATTCCATATATATATCCACTTATATATATTCCATATATATTATTATTATATGTGGAATGTTTCATATATTAAGAATATTTAATATTCCATTTGGAATAGTCTAATAATAAAAAGAACTCTGGTGAAAAGTTAACTGTTATGCTGAATCTAATGTTTGTCATTTTCTTGCCTTTTAAAAAAAATTTTAATTTCATGTTTTGTATGCTTGTAAGTCAGTTGCTTAAATTTGCTTGTTTTTGAGCTTTATAAAAGTGGTATCTTATAATAAATATATAGTCCTCTGTGATTTGCTTGTTTTCTCTCATTATTGTATTCCTGTGATGCATGTTGTTATATGTAGCTGCAATTTACTTTGCAGTATAGCATTCTGTTGGATGAATATACAACAATTTGTCGTTTTCCTTTTGGGCATGGATTGTTTCCAGATTTTTCCTATTATACACAATATTGCTATGGATATTTATGTATCTCATTCTTGATATATCTGTTCAAGAATTCCTCTGGTCTCTCTATCTAGGATGGAAGTACTGAGTCGAGGATATGTGAATGTTCACAAAGAATAGTGCCAAACTGTTTTCTTCTTTTTTTTTGAGATGGAGTCTTGCTCTGTCACTCAGGCTGGAGTGCAATGGCGCAATCTTGGCTCACTGCAACCTCCGCCTCACAAGTTCAAGCAATCCTCCTGCCTCAGCCTCCCAAGTAGCTGGGACTACAGGCGTGCGCCACCACCCCCAGTTAATTTTTTGTATTTTTAGTAGAGATGTGGTTTTACCATGTTGGCCAGGATGGTCTCGATCTCTTGACCTCATGATTCATTCGCCTGCCTCAGCCTCCCAAAGTGCTGGGATTACAGGCATGAGCCACCGTGCCCGGCCCAAATTGTTTTCTAAAATGATCCTACCAATAATGTAATTGATCCTGGATCAGCAAGATCTAAGAATGCCCATTGTTCTGCCTCCTTGACAGCTGTTATAAAAACATTTTTATTTTTTTGGCATGAGTTTAATAAATAAGACTTGGTGTCATAATAATTCTTTTCATTTTCTTTGCTGAGTGGCACATATTGAATTTCTTTTTTCCTAGGAGGGTAAATTATGTTGGCTGCACAGTGGCCCATGCCTGTAATCCAAACACATTGGGAATCTGCGGTGGGCAATCACTTGAGCCCAGGAGTTCAAGACCAGCCTGGACAACACAGTGAAACTCCATTTCTACAAAAATAGAAAAATTAGCTGGGAATGGTGGCGTACGCCTGTAGTCCCAGTTACTCAGGAGGCTGAGCTGGGAGGATCCCTTGAACTCAGGAGGTGGAGGTTGCAATGAGCCAAGTGTGTGCCACTGCACTGCAGCCTGGGTGACACAGTGAGCCCTGTCTCAAAAAAAAAAAAAAAAAAAAGATAAATTATGTTGACATTTAGTACACCAATCGCATTTTATTTGTCAGCATTTTATTTTTATACCTTTATACTTTATACCTTATATCTTTGACAAACTCTACATTTGTATATAATGCCATAGTATTTATTTATTTATTTATTTTTTAATTTTTTGTTTTGTTTTGTTTTTTTGAAACAGAGTCTCGCTCTGTTGCCCAGGCTGGAGTGCAGTGTCGCGATCTCGGCTCACTGCAAGCTCCGCCTCCCGGGTTCACGCCATTCTCCTGCCTCAGCCTCCCGAGTAGCTGGGACTACAGGTACTTGCCACCACGGCAGGCTAATTTTTTGTATTTTTAGTAGAGACAGGGTTTCACCTTGTTAGCCAGGATGGTCTTGATCTCCTGACCTTGTGATCTGCCCGCCTCGGCCTCCCAAAGTGTTGGGATCACAGGTGTGAGCCACTGTGCCCGGCCCCCATAATATTTAAATATCTGCTTTCAAATATATAAAATATAGCAGTTTACTTTGCTTTTTAAAAATTATATTTCATTAGCTACAACATGCATCTTATAATTAATTTACCTTTTTTTCTTAATTTAAAGCACTAATTTTCAAAAGAATAACCCAGTGCACACATTAACTGAAGTGGAGCTTCTGGCATTTACATCAGTGAGTAATGTCTTTTTCTCTTCCATTTCATTTTTTTCCTGGTAAATTACTTCCTCTGGTATGGTCTTGCCTTGGATTGTTTATGTTGAAACACTGCCACCTAAGGAAATAAGGTGGAGAAAAATCTTACCACTGTAGTTTCTAAGTCACATGTATCTTGCTGCTGATTTAAGAGTCTGCAACTCTTAAATTGAGTGCTATGCCTACATGGTCATGGTGAAAAAGAAAGCTAGGAGCAGGACCAGGAGACCATGGGTTAAAAAGATGTCAAGAGCATGGTGTGCTCATCAGTGTTCAACAGTCTAGAGCAGTCCGGAGATAAATGTGGACAGAGAAGAGACCACTGGATTGGACAATTAGGAGTGCATTGGTTACTTCTAGGACAGTTTCAGTGGACTCTCTGGACAGTTCCCTCATTACAGAGAATTCAGAGGGAATATGGTGTAAGGAAATAAAGTTAATAGATAAAGATCACAGTTGGAGAAGAATAGCAGTGAAAAGGAAAGCTGGAGTAATAGATATTTGAGGATTTTAGATCAAGAAGGGCTTTTAAGAAGAGAAAAGTCACAGACGAAGGGGTCAGTCAGTATATTTTGGCTTTATGGAGAAAGGAAGATACATATGTTCTTTAATGAATACAAGTTGCTTAAGATATATCATTTTTTCAAAGGCATTTTCATTATCTTAGTTGGGAATCCATTTAGAATTCTGTTGTTTTCTTCCTTTGTTATTTTTCAGATAAGGCAAAATAAAATACTTTTACTGGCTAGAAAGAAAAGCTAGATTGTGGTTGGGCGAGGTGGCTCATGCCTGTAATCCCAGCACTTTGAGAGGCCGAGGCAGGTGGATCACTTGAGATCAGGGGTTCGGACCAGCCTGGCCGACATGATGAAACCCTGTCTCTACCAAAAATACAAAAATTACCTGGGCTTGGTGGTACATGTCTGTAACCCCAGCTACTCTAGAAGCTGAGAAGGAGAACCACCTCAACCCGGAAGGCGGAGGTTGCAGTGAGCCACACTGCACTTCAGCCTGGGTGACAGAGAGCAAGACTCCGCCTCAAACACAAAACAAAACAAAACACAACAAAACAAAAAAAGCTAGCTTATTTTGTACTGTAATATAAATTTTTCACGTTACTATTTCCTACATACCCTGTTTGAACTGGTTAGGTGTTAAGTCGTTTGAGTCCTCTGGTTGTGTGTTTTATTTTCCCACTTCAGTATTCTCAGAAATCTTTGGTGTGTATCATCATATTATGTGTGTTTTAGGTAACTGTGGAAATGTTCCTCATTATTTATTATATGTGCTATAAAGGAATTGACGAAGTGTTAACAAATTTTAAAGGGCATATAAAAAACATATTATGTACTTTTCATTTATTCATTCAGCTAATATATATCTACTAAATAATATATACGGGTATTGTACTAGTCATTGGGGATTTAGCAGTAAATAAAGCCTTTTTTGTTCTGGAGTTTATGTCAAATACAGAGTAGACAAAGAGAGAACCAGCTATTTCACAGAAGTGCTGAGGAGAAATATAAAGCAGGTTAAGAGACTAAGAATGGGATGGGCGCAGCTGTTTTAGACAAGGTGGTCAGGGAAGGTCTCAGTGGGAGGGTGACACTGAACATAGATCTGTGTGAAATGAGGGATGGGGGAAGGCTAGGGAAGGTCTGGAATGGCTGTGAGCTTGAGTCAGGGTAGGGACTGGATGGGGACAAGTGTCTAGGTGATGAATGGTGACCTGGATGCTTGGCTTTCTCTGATGATGGAAGTAAACAGCGATGTGGCATATGACAGGAAATGTTTCTGCTGGCCAGTAGTAACAGTTTCTTGGGATTGGTCCATAAGCAGTTTATTGCAGCATATATATTACCACAGTTATCCTGAAGACACTAGCACACTCTTTTTACATTCAAACAGTTAATTTTTTAGCATTTCTTGTGTGTGTGGCGGGGGTTCCCTTTCTTTAAAACTTTTCCTTTCTTTAACCTATTCTCCTTCCCTTGCACTGTGAGGTACCTGTGAAGTAATTAGTAACTTCTGATGGTGGGTAACTCATCATTCCTAGCTTGCAGTGAAGGTCATAAATTCAGGTTTTGTGCTTCTCCGCTCAGGCCTTTATGCTGTGTGATTTTTCTGCTTTCCTCCCACCCTCTTACAATCAGAACCATCCTGAAGACCGACCTCTTTTTGGAGGAAAGCTGTTTGATTACAATGACTCACAGTGCTTGGCCTAACTCTTCTAAAGAGATGAGTTAATCCCGAGTAAATCTTTAATTGGAGAAGTAGGGCAAGAAACTTCTATGTGAGGAGGACTTTTAAGAGCCCCACACATACTTTGGGCTTTGCACTGTCTCCCCGACATTTTTTTAATCTCAAATGAAACATACAAAATAAACCAGAAAAACTTGTCAGCCCTTGTCAGCTCTTCATCTATCAGTTCTTCCTCCTGTCCCTTCTTTGTGCATGATACCGAAGTGGATAAGATGATGAATTAAAAGTGGTCCCTGGTTTCAATGAAGAAAGAAACTTTATTTAAATCCTATGTAACTCCAAAAGAGTACAAACAGCCCCCAACTTATGAAAGTTTGGCGATTTTTTGAATTTGCAATGGTGTGCAAATGATATTCAAGTAGAAACCATACTTTGAATACCTATACGACCATTCTGTTTTTCACTTTCTGTACAGTATTCAGTAAATTATATGAGATATTCAGCTTTTTTTTTTTTTTTTATAAAATAGGCTCAGTGTTAGATGATGTTTCCCAACTGTAGGCTAACGTATTTAAGGCAGGCTAAGTTAAGCTATGATGTTTGGTAGGACAGGTGTTATTAAATGCATTTTGACTTAGGACATTTACAACTCATGATGGATTTATCAGGATGTAACTCCATCATATGTTGAGGAGCATTTGTATCTGAGACAAGAGGGACTACTTCTAGGTGCTACCCCACTTCTTCTGAGCTCTTGAACTTTTATTTGTGCCTCTCTTTTTGCAAGGTTCATATTTTGGCTTATATTATAATTATTTATATATATGTATATATATGTGTGTGTGTGTGTGTGTGTGTGTGTGTGTGTGTGTGTGTGTGTGTATGTCTTTTCCTTACAAGACTATAAACTCAGTTTTAGAGACTGGGCTCTGTTCTTTTCTAGGCTCTCTACAAGGGTTGTGACAGTGCTTCAATGCTTTACTCATAGTTGTTGTGAATAAATGCATGCAGAATAAGAAAATGAATGAAATATATATCCTACACCCTGGAATAGGGTTGATGTCTATTCAAGAGCTGTGTCACTTACTTGGTTCCATAATTTAGGTAGTACTGCATGATACTAGGAATAACCATCTGTTTCATCTTTCTCTTCCGTAAAATGGGGGAAAGAGAAAATGCCCCTATCCCAACACAGAAGACTTTACTTGAGGATCATATTGCAGAACATCTATGAAAGTACTCCAGAGTAGGTGGAGGCTGGTACACTCATAGCATTCAGTGATGCTAGTTTGTAGTAAAGCATTCTTATTTTCAAGCAGGCTAAATGGATAAGATCTGCTTGGAATTGGCCATAGATGTGGAAGAGAAGGGAACAGAGAGGAAAGAAACAGCATGGGTTTTTCTTGCTGCGCATCCATTTCCCTGCTCTAGCAGCAGCTTGGTGGCCTGGGACTAGGGTTGTGAACTATTGAGGCTACAAGATGTCTTCCTCTGTTGATAGAAGAGCAAATATAATAGAAGTCTTTTTTTTTTTTTTTTTGAAATGGAGTTTTGCTCTTGTCGCCCAGGCTGGAATGCAATGGCGCGATCTCAACTCATTGCAGCCTCCACCTCCTGGGTTCAAGCGATTCTCCTGCCTCAGCTTCCCGAGTAGCTGGGACTACAGGCATGGGCCACCACACCCGGATAATTTTTATTGTTGTTTTTTTTTTTTTTTTTTTTTTTGAGACAGAGTCTTGCTGTGTCACCCCAGACTGAAGTGCAGTGGCGCGATCTCGGCTCACTGCAAGCTCCGCCTCCCGGGTTCATGCCATTCTCCTGCCTCAGCCTCCTGAGTAGCTGGGACTACAGGTGCCCACCACCACACCTGGCTAATTTTTTTGTGTTTTTCAGTAAAGATGGGGTTTCACTGTGTTAGCTAGGATGGTCTCGATCTCCTGACCTCGTGATCTACCTGCCTCGGCCTCCCAAAGTGCTGGGATTACAGGCATGAGCCACTGCACCAGGCCAATTTTTGTATTTTTAGTAGAGATGGGGTTTCACTATGTTGGCCAGGCTAGTCTCGAACTCCTGACCTCAGGTGATGCACCCACCCAGCCTCCCAAAGTGCTGGATTTACAGGGGTGAGCCACCGCGCCCGGCCAATAGAAGTCTTAATACTCCTACCAGAAGTCTGTAAGCACTTGGAGAGACAGGGACAGTGGTTATTTGGTGTTTGGTAAATATTTATTGAATAAATAAATGAATGGCTCTTGGTCCTGAATTTTGTTCCGTTTTGATTAACTGTCCCAAAGTTTACTAGAATGATGGTGAAATCTCTTTTTTGGAGAAATTTTTGCCAGTGTTTTCATTTTGGTGCAGCAGGTTGAAATATATATGAAATATGCTGGGAAAATGTTTTAATTTAGCAAAGTCAGAAACTTGTCCTAAGAGGAATAGCTTTACTTGTTTAAGGTTGCTGTTATGTGATGCTATTTCTGAGATATTATATCTGCATGTTGCAGGAAAGCTGAGTCAGAGTAAAAATAACCCATATTGTTTTAGAGAGCCATTTATGTTGTATCAGCTTGATAACTTAAAATTAGCTGTGTTATCTACATTATTTCCCTTCAGATGAGCCACGTCATGACATTTAGTAATGTTTTTAATTTCCTTTTATTGTTGAAAATGGGAACAGTTTAGTTAATTCATACAGGTTTTTCAGTTTTCCTTGGCAAAAGTTTGTTTAGGCTGGGTGGGGTAGCTCATGCCTGTAATCCCAGCACTTTGGGAGGCCAAGGTGGGCAGATCACAAGGTCAGTAGTTTGTGACCCGCCTGGCCAACATGGTGAAACCCTGTCTCTGCTAAAAAAAAATACAAAAATTAGCTGGGCGTGGTGGTGCTCGCCTATAATCCCAGCTACTCAGGAGGCTGATGCAGGATAATTGCTTGAACCCGGGAGGCGGAAGTTGCAGTGAGTTGAGGTCACGCCACTGCACCCCAGGCTGCACGACAGAGTGAGACTCTGACTCGGGGGGAAAAAAGTTTGTTTGGTTTTTTGTTCTTGCGATAGTTTACTGAGAATGATGATTTCCAATTTCATCCATGTCCCTACAAAGGACATGAACTCATCATTTTTTATGGCTGCATAGTATGCCATGGTGTATATGTGCCACATTTTCTTAATCCAGTCTATCATTGTTGGACATTTGGGTTGGTTCCAAGTCTTTGCTATTGTGAATAATGCCGCAATAAACATACGTGTGCATGTGTCTAAAACTTAAAGTATAATAATAATAAATTTAAAAAAACAAGTTTCAAAAAAAAAAAAGTTTGTTTAAGTGAGTGTGAATTGATACTGGCAGCTTGCCTTTTGACTCTGCCTGAAGCCCCTAGGTCTCTGTAAATGAAAGAAGGAAAAAGATCTTTGGAAGTTACACATTATATTTTATGTATTTTCTTTTTCTGCTATTGACTTTAAAGCTATTTAATAAATACTTATCTATGATCATAACATAGTTTGCTAATCCGTTTTATAGATGAAAATGATTACCCATTTTTCTTCTAGGGAATTACTCATTTCTTAATTGTAATTTATTAAGATAGGCAATATAACTATTAGTGCTTGTACTTTTGATAGTTTTATTACTAGAGTTGATTACTTCAGAATTACCTCACAGTATAGAGGAACAAGCACAGTGAGACTTAAGCAAAATAAAACGAACAAAACTGTACTTACACATGTCATAGTCAGCCTGGTGAAAAGAAAACATAAACAGAATGTCTTGACAGCAACCAAAAAAAAAAAAAAGACATTAAATAAGAGGAAACAACAACTGCAAATACCTTCACCTTCTCGTTGAAACTAATTGCTCTGCTTTGCCTTTTCCTTTTTTTTTTTTTTTTTTTTTTAATTTTATTATTAGATGGAGTCTTGCTCTGTCCCCCAGGGTGGAGTGCAATGGCGCAATCTTGGCTCGCTGCAACCCCTGCCTCCCGGTTCAAGTGATTCTCCTGCCTCAGCCTCCTGAGTAGCTGGGATTACAGGCACGCACCACCATGCCCAGCTAATTTTTGTGTTTTTAGTACAGATGGGGTTTCACCATGTTGGCCAGGCTGTTCTTGAACTCCTGACCTCAGGTGATCTGCACTTCTTGGCCTCCCGAAGTGCTGGGATTGCAGGCATGAGCCACTGCGCCCAGCCTGCCTGTTCGTTAAGTTATCTTGCAAATTAGAAATGACCTGGGGACTGACCGCTTTTTTTTTGTCTTCTACAGTTAACCATGTCTTGAGGTTAATGCTTATTAGAATTTCCCTTCTGGCCCACTGTTACTGGACTTTAATTTCCATTGTCAACAACTATAAAATTGGATAAAATATATGAAACAGTAATGTATAAAAAGGATAATATATCATGACCAAATAGTGTTTATCCCAGGAATACAAAATTGGTTTAATATGAAACAATGCAGTTCACCTTATTAATAGAGCAAAGGAGAAAAACCAAATGATTATCTTAATAGAAACAAAAAAGCCTTTGACAAAATTCAACACCTTTCATTATAAAAACTCTTAGTAAACTAGGAATAGAAGAGAATATCAACCTGATTAAGTGCATCTAGCTAAAATCATTATTGGTGAAAAGTAGTCTTTCCCCCTTAAGCTCAGAAAAAAGGGAAGATTGTCTGCTTTCTTCACTTGTCTTCTAGTTGAACTAGAATCCTAGTAGTGCAATAGATAAGAAGAAGATATGAAGAAATAAAAGGTATATAGATTGGAAATTAGGATATAAACTACCTTTATGCAGAGGTGACATGTTTATGTCATAGAAAAACTCTTAAGAATGAACATGAAAGCTACTAGAACTAACAAGCAAGTTCTTAGAATACAAGGTCAATATAAAAAAGTCAATTATATTTGCTAGCAATACTTGGGAAAAGAATTTTAAAATCATTTGCAATAGCCTTAAATAAATCAAATATTTACAAATAATTACAACTAAAATGCAAGACCTCTATGCTGAAAATGACGAAGACTGTTGAGAGAAATTAAAGATTATCTAAATAAATGGATTTACCATATCTGTGGATCGGAAGGCTCAGTATGTTGAATTCACAATTCTTGTAAAATTGAGCTTCAAATTAAATCCGTAGCAATCAGAATCCCCATAGGCATTTTTTTTTTATTTGCAGAAATTGACATGCTGATTCTAAAATCATTTGGAGGACTTCTGCTTCTGTAGTGGTTTCTTTTTTTCTGAGACGTAGTCTTACTCTGTTACCCAGGCTGGAGCGCAAAGGCACGATCTTAGCTTACGTCTGTCTCCTGGGCTCAAGCATTTGTCCTGCCTCAGCCTTCTGAGTAGCTGGGACTACAGGCGTGAACCACCACGCCTAGCTGATTTTTTTGTGTTTGGGTAGAGACAGAGTTTTACCATATTGCTCAGGGTGGTCTCGAACTCCCAGGCTCAAGTGATCCGCCCGCCTCAGCCTCCCAAAGTGCTGGAGTTACAGGCATGAGCCACCACGCCCGGCTGCTTCTGTAGTGGTTCTGATTGGAACTACCCTTCTGCAGAAAAAAATTATCAACTGTGGGCAAGGTGCGAAAACAAAAAATCCAACTACCTGGTGATACTGGGGAATGATCAAAGGCAGAAAGATTCTGGAGATGACTTTTTTGCTTGGAAGAAGGGAATACATTGGGTGATTTTATTTTTAGGTTTCTTTTGTGTGTGTGTGAGATGGAGTCTCACTCTGTCACCCAGGCTGGAGTGCAATGGCACAATCTTGGCTCACTGCAACCTCTACCTCCTGGGTTCAAGCAATTCCTGTGCCTCAGCCTCCCGAGTACCTGGGATTACAGGCATGCACCACTACACCCAGCTAGTTTTCGTATTTTTAGTAGAGATGGGGTTTCACTGTGTTGGCCAGGCTAGTTTCGAACTCCTGACCTCAGGTGATCCGCCTACCTCAGCCTCCCAAAGTCTGAGATTACAGGCATGAGCCACTGCACCTGGCCATTTCTTGGTATTTTCTAACATATTTAGAAGGCATTCAAGGGTGAACAAGTGATCCTATGTGGTTGCAAAGTTTCTACATTTTATGTGAAGGATTACTCTATTAATTTTCCACTATTGTAGGTTGTGAAAAATTAAAGATATTATTATTCTAGAGCAACCACTTAAAAATGCAAAGGCATCTGGCTAAAAATCCAGTAAGAAGTCAAGGTGGCAACCTAAAATATATTCAGATTATCTAAAAAGAAGGCAGGAAAAGCAGCATAATGGAACAACAACAAAAAAGGGTAAAATGGTATATTTAAACCAAGCCTTATGAATAATTATATTGAATGCTAATGGATAAATACTCCAAATAAAAGTCAAAGATTGATAATGGAATTAAAAAGCGAGAGACAACTATATGCTTCCTAGAAGAGATGTACTTTGAATGTAAAGACTCAGATGGGTTGATAATAAATGAATGGAAAATATTATCCCATGAAAACAGTAAGTATAACAAGGCTAGATTTGCTAAATTATTATAAAGTAAAATGGGCTTCATTACAAAGAATATTTCCAGAGACAGAGAGGACAACTTTATAATAATAAAGGGAATATTTATCAGGAAGACATAGTAATTATAAATGTGTATGTATCTAATAATGGCTCCACAGTACATGAAACAAAAATGGATAGAACTAAATTGAAAAACAGACAATGTCACAATCATAGTTGAATATTTTAACACCCCTCTGTCAGCAATTGTTAGAACAACTTGGCAAACAGCAAGTAAATACATAGATAAATGGCAACATCAGCCATTTTGACTGAATTGATGTTTATGGAATACACTTGGAATACATGGTGTTTTCAAATGCTTATGGTAAGTGCAGCAAGACCATATACTGGGACATAAAACAAATCTGCATAAATGAAGAATAAATGAATAAATTAAGAAATTGATTACATATAGTACATAGTTTTTTCCATAGATTACATATAGTACTTAGCTTTTTCTGTAATTGAATTAAATGACATAAATAACTACTGCGTATGTAGAAAAACTCCAGATGTTTGTAAACCAAACAATTAAACTGCATATTTTATCCATGGACCACAGAACAAAACAGAGAAGAAATTTATATGTGAAGGTCATTCATGAAGTTAAATCATTGATCTCAATGTTACAAAATTTTCCTCCTATGTTTTCTTCAAGTAAAATTGTTATAACATTGGGTAGTGAAGAAATTTTAGCTAGGACACTAAGCGCATGAACCATAAAAGAAAAAGAGTGATAAATTGGACTTTATTAACATTAAAACCTTCTGCTTTTTGAAGACAACATTAAGAAAATGAAAACACCAGCCATAGACTAGGAGAAAATATTTACACGGCATGTATCTCACAAAAGACTTTTACTTAGCATAAAGACCCCTTTCAACTCAATAGTAGAAACCAACCAATTAAATATGGATAAAATATTTGAACAGACACTTGAACAAAGATATATGCATGGCCAAAAGGAGCTTGAAAGATGTGTAATAACATTAGTCATCAGAGAAATGCAAATTAAAACCACAACAAGATACCACTGTACATTACTGAAAAGACTTACATAACACTTTGTGGGGTAGTTAGAACTCTCATACAATGCTGGTGGTAATGCAAAATGTCACAACTGCTTTGGAACACAGGTTGGCATTTTCTTATAAAATTAATCATCAATTGCTTCTCCAGGTATTTAGCCATGAGAAATGAAAGTATATGTCCTCACAAAGAGTTGTACACAAATACTTGTGGCTGTTTTATGCATAATAGCTTAAAACTGGAAACAACCCAAATGTCCATCAAAACAAATGAGTGATAAACTGCCATGTATCCCTCTCATGAAATAATACTCAACAATAAAAAGTTATGAAACACTGATAAATGCAACAGCATGGATGAATCTCAGACACATTATTGTGAGTTAAAGAAGCCAGGCTGTATGATTCCATTTAATGGAAATTCTAGAACAGCAAAACTACATTGTAATGACAGAAAGTAGATCACAGATTGATTACAAAATGTTGCAAGGGAATATTTTAGGATGATGAACAATTTCTATAATTTGATTTAATAGTGGTTATATAGGTGTATGCATTTGTCAAAACAGGTCACAATACTGAATATGGGTTTTATTCATCTGTCATATACTTCACTAAAGGGAAGAATTCACATGACCAGATTTATTTAGAGCTATACTATTTTAAGATTATCAATATAGACTTGGGTTTCAATATTGATTATTCTATGCCACCAGTTTCAGAAGTACAACACAAACTATTCAATTTACCTAATTATTAAGTGGAAAAAATGTAGAACAAATTCCCAATAGGAAATTGCTTAGTGTTCACATTCGTTATGAAGTTTACTGCTTTTCTGAAGCAAAATCAAGCTAGTTTTCCCCATATATTTTTGGAAACCTGCATGTAAAAGAAATCCCAAAGTTAATGGGGGGAATATACTGTTTAGAGCTCAAGTTGGGGGTACTTTTGACCCTTTGCATTTAACACAGATTATTGATATTGAAAAAATATTTGTTGAATTGAAATTTTTCCCCTTTTGTGATTGAGAGTCAACAGAAATAACAAATAGAAAGATAGCTAGGATGAATGTAAAATCTTAACATTTCTTAGCACATGAGACTTGTATATAGAATAGCATAGGTAATTGAAATAAAGTGAAGTATTAATATATGATTTCTAGCAACTTGTGTTAATCAATATAAAAATAGGTAATTAGTAGAATTTATTTTAAGTCTGTAAATACTATTTTAAGTAGAATCTATATCTGGTATGGAAGGTAAACTATTGGTCATGTGGCAAAATATTAACATTTGGGGAACTGGGTGAAGGATATACAGTAAGCCCTTGCTTAAGGTCATCATGAGTAGGTTTTTGGAAACTGACTTGAATCAAGACAGTGTACAACAGGTCCTCAAGTAACATTGCTTGCTTTAACAATGATGAAGAAAAAAACATGGTTTTGTTATAGAACATTTTGCTTAAAATCTCCTGAATGCAGAGGTTTTTCTTTTTTGAAGAAGCCAAGTGACCAACAGATTGATCACTGGTGTCTTTGCTGCCTATATGAAAATTTGCATAGCAGAGAAAGTTTTAAAAGCTTAATGGCAGAAGATCCAGAGTCTCAAAATTTGCCAAGCATGCTACTAGATGTTGTGGAAAAAATAAAGGCATAAAGCATGGGACTTGCCTTCATGGAATTTTTAATTTAGCCCAGGTCAGAGAAATTTATGAAACTGTACTTAGCAATACTAGGCCCTTTAAACTACAAATGGATAGCACAGATAAAGATATCCTCTAGTTGCTAAGAAAGGAAGACAATATTTAGGACTGAGCAGTCAAAGAAGGCTTTGTTCACTAAGGGAGGACTTGAGTTGGAACTTGAACAACAGATAGGGTTTAGATGGAGTGATATAGCATAAGCAAAGGCAAGGAGACGGGAGAATGTAAGTTGTATTTGGGTCCTTTTGTTGAGGGTAATAGTGAGACTTAGGGAAAAGTAGATTTGAAAAAGTTTTTAAATGACCTACCTAGCAAGGATAGGGGATTTGGACTGCTCTTCCACTTCTACTGGGAATTATTTATAGATTAAACTTGGAATTTTAAACTTACTGTCATTTGGTACTGATTTCAAAAATGAATGCTCTTTTAAGTAGATAATTAAAAAGCGGGGATAGTTCTGCTTTTTGTAGTATTTCTTTGTTCCTTGCTTTGGAAGATCAGTGTGACCTGGGTGGGCATCGTTCGATTTGGCTTTAGTGTAGCCAAACAATCACGCACAGGAGAGCTCTGAGCTGGCTTTGATTTATGTATGGAAAAAGCAGCTATCTGAAAGCGCCTTCAGTGTTTAAAGGAGTAGCCTGGTTGTGTGTCATTTAAAGGGATCCTAGTGACCTTTGGAAGAAGATTATTTGAAACGTGCAGTGACAAGAATGAGAAGGAAATTTGTTTTTAATAGAAATGACACTCTAGATCCTCTTTGATGATGGTACAGAATTTTCTTTGCTACTTTTCTGGGGCATGAGGGAAATGCCCATACAGTGGGAAATTGCTAGCTGAATAAAATAGTAAGTCCTTCTTAGGTACATATATAGCTTGTCATCATATGAATATTTACTTTTTTTTTTTTTTTTGAGACAGTCTTTCTCTGCCCAGGCTGGAGTGCAATGGCGCAATCTCGGCTCACTGCAACCTCCACCTCCCAGGTTCAAGTGATTCTCCTGCCTCAGTCTTCCAAGTAGCTGGGATTACAGGCACACGCCACTGCACCCAGCTAATTTTTGTATTTTTAGTAGAGACGGGGTTTCATCATGTTGCCCAGGCTGGTCTTGAACTCCTGACCTCAGGTGATCAGTCCACCTCAGCCTCCCAAAGTGGGGGGATTACAGGCATGAGCCACCGCGCCTGGCCTGCATCTCTTAATCTTTGATGAATACTTCTCTTTTGTTCTCAAAATATCCTCTTATACACCTTATCAACAATTGCTGAAGAGAATTGATTCTTTAATTTATAAAATATTATAACTATAAATAAATATTACTAGAGTTTATTTCACATTCACAACAGTCATAAAAATATTAAAAGTACATGAAAGATTACATACTTGTAAAAGTTTACTGGCTCAATGAGTCACCTTTTATAGATTTTGGTCAATGAGAGGTAAGAAATGAGAGAACTTTTCTTAAGACAGGCACACAAATGTTATTTGTAAGTGGTTTCTGGCCTTTGTTTTGATGTGTAAAAGTGGAAATTCCATCTCATGGATAAGTACATGGTTGCAAATGGCATGAGGTTTTTCAGCAGTGTGCTAATTCTGAATGTGGGGATATTCTTTTTTAATTTTTTAGGTTTTTTTTTTTTTTTTTTTTTTTTTTGTAGAGACAGGTCTCCCCATATTGCTCAGGCTGGTCTTGAACTCCTGGGCTCAAGTGTTCTGCCCATCTCGGCCTCCCAAAGTGCTGGGATTATAGGCGTGAGCCACCACACCCAGCCATGAAAGCGGGGATTTTTGAATCCACCAACTTTCTGAGGGCTCTTTTTCAAACCCATTTTGATTTTTAACCAAATACTTATAACTTAGTGAGCTGATATTTCATCAAATTACCACAGTTAATAGAATCCATGGTTAAAAATAAGACAGCATTTACAACTATGTAATTCCACATGAAGTACCTGGAGTAGCCAAAATTCATAGAACCAAAAAGCAGAACGGGTTGCCGGGGGCTGGGGGAAGGGGGATTGGGAGTTGTTTAATGGGTATAGAGTTTCAGCTGCAAGATGAAAGTAGTTCTGGAGACTGGTTGTACAACAATGTGAATGTACTTAACATTACTGAACTGTGTGTTTAAAAATTGTTAAAATGGTATATTTTATGTTATATGTATTTTACCATAGTTTTTAAAAATTAAAAAGAGAAAAGCATTTGTAATAGTGTCAAGAAACATCAAATTCCTAGGAATAAACCTATCAAAAGATTTATGAGATCTCTATACTAAAAATCTGGTGGGGCACGGTGGTTTACACCTGTAATCCCAGCACTTTGGGAGGCCAAGGTGAGCAGATCACTTGAGGTCAGGAATTCAAGACCAGCCTGGCCAACATGGTAAAATCTTGTCTCTGCAAAAAATACAAAAAAAAGTTAGCCAGGCGTCGTGGTGAACGCCTGTAATCCCAGCTACTTGGGAGGCTGAGGCAGGAGAATCGTGTGAACCCAGGAAGCGGAGGTTGCAATGGGCTGAGATCGCACTACTGTACTCCAGCCTGGGTAACAGAGTGAGACTCTGTCTCAAAAAAAAAAAAAAATCTATAAAACATAATTAAGATAAATTAATGAAGATGTAAATAAACGGAGTGATACGTCTTGTTCGTGACTTCATGTTTTAAAATTTCAAGTCTTTCCAAATTAACCTACATAATTAATACAATCCTTAAGAAAGTCCCAGAACTTTAAATTTGTTGTTTTTATTGTTTCTGTTGTTTTTTCGTGAAGCTAAAACTGACTTTGAAATTCATATGGAAATGCAGAGGACTAAGGATATAGCTCAGGCAGTCTTGAAGAACAGAGCTGGAGGGGAGGACTTCTGTTGTCAGATAGCAAGACCTATTTTAAGACAGTGCTCATCAAATTGGGGTCCCTGGACCAGCAGCATCAGCGTCACCTGGGAGCTTGTTAGAAATGGAATTTCTCCGGCTCCACCCTAAACCCTGTTCAGTCAGAACCTTTGAGGTTGGAGCCAAGAACTCTGTGTTTTAACAAGCTCTTGAAGTTATTTTTATGCTCTTTAAAAACACAGAATTAAGACATTTTGACACAAGGAAATATAAATCAACCAGTAGTCTAGAAACAGATCCATACATATACAGTTCATGTGATTTATGGCAAAGGTGGAGTTGTAAAACAGTGAGAAAGGATAGACTTTTCAATAAATATTACTAGGTAATTTATATACCTCTAGGAAAAATGGGCATCTTACCCCTACATCATACTGTATATAAAACATAATTCCAGATAGATCAAATATATAAAAGTGAAAAGCAAAACTATAAAGCTCTTAGAGGATGAATGTAGGAGAACATCTTTGAGACCTTAGGACAGTCACACAGGACAGTAAAGCGCTAACAAAACAAAAAATGGTACGCTGGACCATAGTTAGCACTTCTTTTTATGAAAAGATACCATTACTGTTGTAAAGCACTTAGACTAGTGCCTGAACAGCACATAGAATGTGTTATATAAATGTTTATTAAATAAAACTAATAAATAAAATGAACAACAAAACAGCAAAAACAGCAAACTTGTATCGAGAACAAATAAAATTCTGGTTAGAACCACCGTTGTAGAGGCTTTTGCAGTTGAGTAGTTACTGCATTTTTCTCAGAACAAGAGGCTAACTCTCTAGTCGTCAGCCTTTTGGTAATCTCTGTTATTTAGGACCAGTTTTAGAGTGAACTGTTCAGAAATTTTCTTAGCATTTCTAAGAAATGAGTATGAATTATTGGAATAAAAATATGAATTATAAGAATTAACAACATGTAGTATTTTATATCTTCATAAAAATGTGTCCTTTGGGAGAAATAAATAATTGAAATTAAAGTGTTTACTATAATTAACTATACAGAAACATATCAGAGCCTTTTCATGTGCTAAAATAACCCAGCTTTTGGGAAAAAAATTCTGAAATTTGGGAGCGTGGTATATATGCATACTGGATGCTTCATGCAAAATATTATTAGTAGCCAGGCCTAGTGGCTCATGCCTGTAATCCCGGCACTTTGGGAGGCCAAGACAGGAGGATCACTTGAGGCCAGCAGTTTGAGACCAACCTGGGTAACATTGTAAGATCCATCTCTATTAAAAAAAATAAGAAATTATTAGTGACTTTAAAAAAGTAATGAAATATTACTTTGGGCATAATTATATTTCTGTCTTTATATGTTCTGTTTATGTTTTTAGCAACACAAAATTTGAATGTAAGATTCCTATTTCTTTTTTTTTTTTTTTTTCCACAAGGTTTTGCTCTGTTGCCCAAGCTGAAGTGCACTGGTATGAACACAGCTCACTGCAGCCTGGACCTCCCAGGCTCAAGCGATCTTCCTGCCTCAGCCTGTCACGTAGCTGGTACCAGAGGTGTGCACTGCCACACCAGGTTTTTTTTTTTATTTTTATTTTTTCTAGAGACAGGGTCTTGCTGTGTTGCTTAGGCTGATCTCAAACTCCTGGGCTCAAGCAATCCTCCTGTCTTGGCCTCCCAAAGTGCTGGGATTACAGGTGTGAGCCACTACGGCCAGCCTGCTCTGTCTTTTTAAGGATTTTGACAGTAGTGGTTTTGTAAAATACATATTTTTTTATATACATAACACAAAATGTACCATCTTAACCATTTTTAAGGGTACAGTTCAGTGGCATTAAGTACATTCACAGTGTTGTGCAACCATCAGTATTATCAATATGCAGAACTTTTTCAGCTTTCCAAACTCTGTATCCATTAAACAATAACTCCCTTTCTCCCCTCCCTTTAGCCCTTGCAACTACCATTCTACTTTCTAGCCCTATGAGTTTGACTACTCTAGGTACCTTGTTTAAGGGGAATCATAAAATATTTTTTCTTTTGTAGGCCAGGTGTGGTGACTTATGCCTGTAATCTCAACACTTTGGGAGGCCAAGGCGGGTGGATCACCTGAGGTCAGGAGTTCAAAACCAGCCTGGCCAACATGGTGAAATGCCATCTCTACTAAAAATATAAAAAATTAGGCCAGGCACGGTGGCTCACGCCTGTAATCTCAGTGCTTTGGGAGACCGAGGCGGGCAGATCACGAGGTCAGGAGTTCAAGACCAGCCTGGCCAATATGGTGAAACCCCATCTCTACTAAAAATACAAAAAGTAGCCATGCGTGGTGGTGCGTGCCTGCAGTCCCAGCTACTCGGGAGGCTGAGACAGAAGAATCACTTAAACCCTGGAGGCGGAGGTTGCAGTGAGCTGAGATCGCGCCACCACACTCCAGCCTGGGTGACAGAGCAAGGCTCTATCTCAAAAAAAAAAAAAAAAAAAAAAAAAAAAAAAGCTGGGTGTGGTGGCGGGTGCCTGTAGTCCCAGCTACTCTGTAGGCTGAGGCAGGACCATCGCTTGAACCCTTGAACCCAGGAGGTGGAGGTTGCAGTGAACCGAGATGGCGCCGTCGCACTCTAGCCTGGGCAACAAGAGTAAAACTCCATCTCAAAAAATAAAATAAAATAAAATAAAATATTATGAAAGTAAAAATAAATAAACAAATAAAAATACGAAAATTAGCCGGTCGTGGTGGCATGTACCTGTAATCCCAGCTACTTGGGAGACTGAGGCAGGAGCATTGCTTGAACCTGGGAGGTGGAGGTTGCAGTGAGCCAAGATTGCACCACTGGCACTCCAGCCTGGGTGACAGAGCGAGACTCTACCTCAAAAAAAAAAAAAAAATAATTGTTCTTTTGTGACTGACTTCACTCAGCATGGTGTCCTCAAAGTTCATCTGTGTTGTGTATATCAGAATGCTATTCCTTTTTAAAGCGGATTGATACTCTGTTGTTTCTATACCACATTTTTGTTTATTTTATTTTATTTTATTTTATTTATTTTTTATTTTTTGAGACAGAGTCTCACTCTGTCGCCCAGACTGGAGTGCAGTGGTGCAATCTCGGCTCACTGCAACCTCCACCTCCTGGGTTCAAGCACTTCTCCTACCTCAGCCTCCCGGGTAGCTGGGATTCCAGGTGCCCACCATCACGCCCAGCTAATTTTTTTGTGTGTTTTTAGTAGAGACTGGGTTTTACCATGTTGCCCAGGCTGGTTTCAAACTACTGACCTTAAGTGTTCCACCTGCCTCGGCCTCCGAAAGTACTAGGATTACAGGCATGAGCCACCACGCCCAGCCTATACCACATTTTATGATCCATTCCTTCACAAACATTTGAGTTGTTTTTGCCTTTTGGCTATGTGTATAATGCTGCCATGAATATTGGTATGCAAATATCTGACTTCAATTCTTTCAGGCATGACCCAGAAATGGAATTGCTAAATCATGTGGAATACTATATTTAATTTGGAGATAATTTTTTCTAATGCCTAGATTTACTTTTTTCATACAAAGATAGGATAAAGTATCTTCTACAGAATATAGAGCAGTCACTAAAAGTTTTACAGTTCCTGTTATTCCTTGATGTATTTTGTTTTCCACTCAGAGAATTAGTGAGTAGCCGATGGGCGTGGTGGCTCACACCTGTAATCCTAGCACTTTGGGAGGCCAAGGTGGGCTCATTGCTTGAGCCCAGGAGTTCGAGACCCGCCTGGGTGAAACCCTGTCTCTACAGAAAATTAAAATAATTAGCCAGGTGTGGTGGCAAGTGCCTGTAGCCCCAGTTACCCAGGAGGCTGAGGCAGGAGAATCACTTGAGCCTGGGAGGTGAGGGTTGCAGTAAGCCGAGACTGCACCACTGCACTCTAGCTTGGGCAATAGAGTGAGACCCTGTCTCAAAAAAAAAAAACAAACAAAAAGAAATAGTGGGTAGCTAGAATTCTATGGTAATAGCAAATTATATCAGCTTATATTTAGGTCCATGTATTCAGTTACTCATTGCCTCTTATTATCAAGGCTGAAACTCTGTGCTTATTTAACCTCTCAATATGTAAGACACCATTCCAAATCTGATGAGTCACAATTTGGGGTTTTCAACATCTTCTTTTATCTTTACCAATTTTTGGCATCTGAGCAGTTTAGCTGTTCTTAAGTACTTCTTTCTTACACTTTTACTGAACAGTAAAGAAATGTGTTTATAAGATATTTCAGTAAATGTGAAGTTTGTAATAATTGCATTTAGCTTAATGTTAAAATAGAAAATAACCAAAATTCAACAAAGATGAACTTATTTTCCCTTCATTACTGCAGAATTTTGGAGGTGGTTGGTCAACTTTTAGTCTACATTTTTCTCTTTATGGATAAGACATCTTTAGTCACACAGAGCTTAACCTGCTTATTCAGGGGCACATAGATAATGGCTGGGACGGTAGAGGAATTCAAGCTAGTTTAGGAAAGAAAGAATTTTTTTTTTTTTGGAGACAGTTTCACTCTGTCACTCAGGCTGGAGTGCAGTGGAATGATGTTGGCACACTGCAACCTCTCCCTCCTGGGTTCAAACGATTCTCATACCTCAGCCTCCTGAGTGGCTGGAATTGTAGGTGTGCACTAGCACGCCCAGTTAATTTTTGTTATTTTTAATAGAGATGGGGTTTCACTGTGTTGGCCAGGCTGGTCTTGAATTCCTGACCTCAAGTGATCTGCCTGCCTCAGCCCCAAAAGTGGCCACTGTGCCTGGCCAGTAATAATTAATCTTAATTTGTAGATTTTTACAAAGCATGGTAGCACATTATGTTGGTACCTTATTATATTATTACTTGCCATGAAGCAAATGGAATATTATGATTATTATTTTTGATACAGGGTCTCACTCTGTTCAGCCCAGACTGGAGTGCAGTAGTGTGATCATGGCTCACTGCAGCCTTGACCAGACTCAAGTGATCCTTCCACTTCAGCCTCCTGAGTAGTTGGAACTACCTGCACATGCCACCACACCCAGCAAATTTGATAAATTTTTTTGTAGAGACAGGGGCTTGCTATGCTGCCCAGACTGATTTCAAACTCCTGGTCTCAAGTGATTCTCCCACTTCAGCCTCCCGAAGTGCTGGGATTACAGTTAAGCCATCTCACCCAGCCATAAAGTTATTATTATTATTATTATTATTTTTTAGCATTTGGAACATGTTGTCTTTTTTTTTTTTTTTGAGATGGAGTCTCGCTCTGTCACGCAGCCTGGAGTGCAGTGGCGCGATCTCAGCTCACTGCAAGCTCCGCCTCCCGGGTTCACGCCATTCTCCTGCCTCAGCCTCCTGAGTAGCTGGGACTACAGGCGCCCCCCACCACGCCTGGCTAATTTTTTTGTATTTTTAGTAGAGATGGGGTTTCACCATGTTAGCCAGGATGGTCTCGATCTCCTGACCTCATGATCCGCCCGCCTCGGCCTCCCAAAGTGCTGGGATTACAGGCGTGAGCCACTGCGCCCGGCCAAGGAACGTGTTGTCTTAAAGAAAAAATATTTTAAGTAGTGTTTAAGTTTCTGAGCTGCATTACAAAAGCCTATATAAACCCCAGATTGCCTAGGTCACAGTAATAAAAGTATTATGTCAGGATAACTAGTTATTATTTACAATATTATGTCCTTGGGAGCATATGTTCCCAATTCTATCTAGAGAATGCCCCAAAAAAGAATCTATTAGGTGGATTTTCATGAGCACCAGTCACTGTTAGTTTTCATTTCTGTTTCCGAAGAACCACCTTTGTATGCCCTTGTCCCTTTGTAAAAGAAGACAGAAGAAAAGTCTCTTTCTTTGTCCCTCTTTTTATCCCTTTCTTGCAGTGCACCCAACAGTATGTAAGGCACTAGGAATCAAATAGCTGGGACTTCTGCCCTGGAGGAACCAAACTAGATGCAGTTATAAAGAATCACTGGATAGAGATGGAGTCACTTAGATGAGGTGGTTGAGAAGGCTCCCTCACAAAGTGGCATTAAGGCCAAGACCTAAATGAGACAGAGCCAGCCTTGTAGGCATTGGGGTGATCACTTCTCAAGTTCTAAATGGAATGGAATTAAGAGCAGTAACCCCCTACTGGGGGGCGTGGTGAAGACTCTGAATTAACTCTATCCAGGTGTTTATGTAGATTATGGCTTGAGCTCTCACCAGCTGGGGTTGGCCTGCTGCTTAGGTAGGTTAGATTGGTGTTCTCTCCATTGCATTTGGTTGCTGAAATTTTTTTAAAATGCCATTTTCTAATAAGTCAATAGAGCTTCATAAACCAACATATTTCCTGTTTAGTTTTCTTCTTACTTATCCAATGTCCCATATTATGGTCAATTCTTACCTCATCATGGGCAGCAGTGTTTTATAAAATATATTGAATATAGCCTATGTGCAATTGCTCCCTTTCAGAAAGACTTTCTCAAGTCTTTATATCTCCCAGCCAAATAGACATCATCACATTCTTCAGTGATGCTATTATCCAGTTAGTTCCTTCTTTAAAGCTTTTCAAATGTCTGTCAGATTGTATCTTATTTTCAGTATTTAGTGAGAATGTTTTGGTTGACCTTCAAATAAAAATCTTAGGCAAGCCTCTTGTTCTCATACCAGTGTAGAAAACAGTGTGTCTTTGTTATCTAAGGAAGATATTTCATCCCTTTGCTGTGCAAGCGTTTGGGACAACCTTTTTAAAGGTGAGTTTTAACTCTGACAAGCCCATGGGCTGAGCTGGTCTGTGCACTGCACCATTGTTGCTAGCAGAATGATCAGTGTGGTTGGAAGGTGAGCACCGTTGCCCATGCCCACTCCGGAGAGGGATTTTCTGTTAAGGGTGAGTGTAAACGCTGGAGGAGGAGAGCTCCTGGAGGGGCCAGATGTGCTTTTCAGTGGGAACTCTCATAGGCTCCATTAAGCTTTACTTATTCTTACTTACTTAATGCTCCCAACTCTGTGAGAGATGGGAATGCTCCTCCAATTTTAGAGAGGAGGAAAGTGAGACACCCAGGGAGGTCAAGTAACTTCCCCAGGTCACTTGGTGGGGCTGGGATGCCTCTCAATCTTTCACTCTGCAGACTTTTCCCACTGTTTTACAGAGCCTTTTCCTCAGTACTCTTCCATTTTGTTGTCATGGGATTATAGATGATAATCCCTTTAATAAGATGAAAAGAAAATGAAGGCAGTGATGTGACCCGTTATGGGTAGTGGAATCAGTTTTGCAGATTTACCTAATGAGAAAAGTCTTTTCCTTTGAAAAAAAAATTTTTTTTTTGACATAGTTTTGCGCTTGTTGCCTAGATCGAAGTGCAGTGGTGCAATCTCGGCTCACTGCAACCTCCACCTCCCAGGTTCAAGCGATTCTTCTGCCTCAGCCTCCTGAGTAGCTGGTATCACAGGCACTCGCCATCATGCCCGGCTAATTTTTTTGTATTTTTATTAAAGACTGGGTTTCATCACGTTGGCCAGGTTGGTCTCGAACTCCTGACCTTAGGTGATCCACCCGCGTCAGCCTCCCAAAGTGCTGGGATTACAGGCGTGAGCCATCACGCCCTGCCTGAAAAGTCTTGAGATCACATTTTATAATAAAATCTGACAAGTAGTGTTGTACATTTTAAAGAATTAGTTTTTTTAATGTCTTCTCTTTCATATTTTTATAGGTCCATATGCACCTATTATGTTGGTAAATTCATTCTTTTTGTAGATTTAAGTTAATGGAGGCCAACGAGATAAGGTTATGCATTAAATCTTGTAAACTATTTCAAGGGGATGAAAATATTTTAATTTGCAAAGTTAATTATAGAAGAATAAGATTAGAATATATATTTTATGGGGGCAGGGATCCTGTCTGTTTTGTTTGCTATTCTGTCCTTAGGGCCCAGTATACACTGCCATGTAGGGAGTAGGTGCTCAAGTGAGTTAATGAACAAATTTCACTAAGGTTCTGTTCTTTTGATTCTTCTCTCTTATTCATGTATTCTTGATGTACTCCTCTTCCTTCACCATCTCCAAGTCCTCTTTTTACATTACTCTACTTTCTAATGTTTCTTTGGTAGTATCATCCATGTCCAGGAAGTAGTCATATCTTAATTTAGCTATTTAAATGAGCACAAGTTTATTTAGAGAAAATGTTATAAAATAATATAAAGGTGTTCTGGGACTTAGGATACTAAGTGTTAGTACCAGCTTTTGCTATTAATAGAGGTGTGAGATTGAGCAGGTAATTTAACCTGTTGGTGCTTCATTTTCCTCTTATTGTAAGGGGGTTGGTCTATATTAGAGTTAGTTGGTCTAGATTAGAGGTTAAAAATTCAAGTGCCTATAGGAGTCAGGCAGGTAATAAAAATGAGTGAAATGAACTGTAAGGAGTCATAGGCTGAAGGACTTCTTGCTAACCTTTAATGAGAGTTTGGAGTTATGAATGAGTTTGATAAAAGACAAATACTTACTTTATCTTAGCCTAATAGTTCTTAAAGTTGGCTACGCTTGAGAATTACCTGGGGGGTATTTTAAAAAACACTGATGCCAGCCTGGGCAACATAGCGAGATCCTGTCTCTACAAAAAATAAAATAAAATAAATTAGCCGGGCATGGTGGTACAGGCCTGCCGTCCAAGCTACTCGGGTAGCTGAGGTGGGAGGATTGCATGAGCTCAGGAAGCCGAAGCTGTAGCTTGCCATGATCATGCCACTGCACTCCAGCCTCAGTGACAGAGTGAGATCCTGTCTCAAAAAAAAAAAAAAACAAAAACAAAAAAAACCAGCTACCAAAACTGACACCCACATCCTGCTCTCAGAGATCTGATATACTTTTAGAATACCAAGCTTCCCAGGTACTTCTAATGAGTAGCTAGATTTTCAGTGATTAATTGTACTCTAAGATGTTTTCCAAACCTGACTTTTTGAAACAAGAGAAGGACCAAGGGTGGCATCAACTTTCAGATAAATAAACAGGTCTTTCTCCTTTATTTGTGGTAATCTTTACTGAAAGTAATTGTTGTAAATGATCACCGAGACAATATCAGATTCCAAGTTGTCATCAAAGAGAGTTTACATTGTGCTCATTATACTAAGGAGTCAGTGTTTATCATAGTACATTTTGTCCCTGTTTTCACTTATCCAGTACTTTCATTTTGCTTCCCACTACACTTGTGATCATATTGGATGATTTCTACTATGTTCTCTGGGTAATGGTGGTCACAGCTTTCTCTGGGGTTAGGTTTCAGTGTGTGCATATTCAGTTTTGATATAGGCCAGTCTTTGTTAAGATGCCCCTTCTAGGAATGCATTTTCATTAAAATTGGAAACTCCCTACCCTAACAAATGCCAGAAAGCATTCTCATATGTTTTAGAATGATTTCTGTAATACAAATTGAGAAAAAGAGAACTTTTTGTTAACTGGGAAGATTTTCAAATCTGTGTTTAACTGTACCCTGATATTTTGGAAGAATTAATTTTGTCCTATTCAGAATGAGATCACCTAGCTTATCTCTTTTCTATGATTTTTTTCTTCCCGCTTCTATCAGTGTTTGCTTTCACAACCAAAGTTCTGGGCCATTCAGACATCAGCCTTGATCCTCCGGACAAAACTTGAGAAAGGAAGTACTCGCCGAGTGGAACGGGCAATGAGGCAGACACAGGTAAGAATTAATGTGGCAATTTGTGTGCTTCTTCCAACTCTCTATTGCTATCAGTAAGCATACATGTTTGCTATGAATGAAGGAATGAAATGGCTTACATTTCACTCAAATAATTTGTTACTGTTTAGAGAATAAGTTCTATAATTTAACTTCTTGGTTCCAAAGCCCAGCTCTGTGACTTAGCAGCTCTGTGAACTCGGTATTTAACCTCTCCAAACCTCATTTTCATCATCTGTAAAAGAGGTTAATAATAATAACAGCACTTAGGCTGGGCGCGGTGGCTCACGCCTGTGATCCCACCACTTTGGGAGGCCAAGGCAGGTGGATCATGAGGTGAGGAGTTTGAGACCAGCCTGGCCAACATGGTGAAACCCCGTCTCTACTGAAAATACAAAAATTAGCCAGGCGTGGTGGTGGGTGCCTGTAATCCCAGCCACTCGGGAGGCTGAGGCAGGAGAATCGCTTGAACCCTGGAGGCAAAGGTCGCAGTGAGCCGAGATCGTGCCATTGCACTCCAGTCTGGGCGACAAGAGCAAGACTCCATCTCAAATAATAATAATAATAATGGCACTTACAGGTTTATGGTGAGCATTAAAAGAGACAATAGAAGAATTAATAAATAAAGATATGCAGCCCCATAGGTATGGGTTGTATAAAGAAGTAAAATTCATCCTGATGCAAAAAATATTCACTAATGAACTAACCACATGTAAGATTAATCCATATTCAGGTACCGTTCTTCATTTAATGCTAATGTTTATTCCTATCCAGTGAGTCAATAGCATTTAGTCTCTTTTACACATTTTCTCTTAAACTATCCATGATGCAAATTTATTACCAAGAAAAATGGAAAATCTTACAATAGATGTAGGATTTCGTAACGTCAATGTCTTAGTCTGTTTGTGCTGCTACAACAATATACCTGAGACTAGGTAATTTATAAAGTACTGAAATTCATGTTCTCATAGTTGTAAAGGCTGGAAAGTCTAAGATCAAGGTGCTGGCAGATTCGGTGTCTGGTAAAGCCTCATTGTTCATGGATGGCACTGTCTAGGTGTTCTCATACGACAGAAGAGTGGAAGAGAGTGAACCCATCCTTTTACACCATTTTATAAGGGCCAAAGTCCTGCTTATGAGGGCTCTGCCCTCAGGACTTAATAATTTCCTAAACATCCTACTGCCTAATACTTTCATATTGGCCATTAAGTTTCAACATATATATTTTGGAGGACACATTCGGACTATAGTAATTAATGAAAGTGATTTTTTTTTTTACTTTTTTTTGACACAGGGTCTTACTCTGTTGCCCAGGTTGGAGTGCAGTGGCACAATCTGGGCTCGCTGCAACCTCTACCTCTGGGGTTCAAGCAATTCTTATGCCTCAGCCTTCTGAGTAGCTGGGATTACAGGCATACACCACCATGCCCGGCTAATTTTTGTATTTTTAGTAGAGATGGAGGTTTCACCATGTTGGTTAGGCTGCTCTTGAACTCCTGGCCTCCAGTGATCTGCCCGCCTCTGCCTCCCAAAGTGCTAGGATTACAGGCATGAGCTGCTGTGCCCGGCCAAAAATTTATTTTTATTTTATAAAAATTTCAAACCTATGTAAAAGTCATAAGAACAGTACGAAGAATTCCCATATAGCCTTCACCGTGAGATCTCGTTTAGGCTTTATCAACTTGTCCTCATAACATCCTTTGTAGCACAGGGATCCAAGCCTGGCATTTCACTGTCATGTCCTCTCAGGCTCCTTTATTCCAGAACAATTCCTAGTCCTTTTTTGACCTTGATGGGTTTGATGCTTTTGAAGATTATGGGCTAGTTATTTTGGAGACTGCCCTTCAGTTTGAGTTTGTCTGATGTTTCCTCATGATTTGATTCAGGTCATAGAATTTTGGCTGTCATATTGTAGAAATGATGTAGTACTCTTCTTCCCTCAGGTGGCACATGATGTTCACTTATCCTGTCACTGGGGATGTTATTTGATCATTCAGTAAGCTTGTGTTTGTGAGATTTCTCCCCAAGTAAAGTTACTCTACTCTTTTCCCATTGTAATTAATAAACATTTTCAGGAAGTGATATGGTTTGAGTATTTGTTCCCTCCGTATCTCTTGTTGAAATGTGATTCCCATTGTTGGAGATGGGGCCTGGTGGGGGGTGTTGGGGTCACGGGAGGGAGCAGACCCCTCATGAATATCCTAGTGCCCTCCCCACAGTAATAAGTGACTTGTCCCTCTGTTAGTTCATGTGAGAGCTTGTCTGAGAGAGCCTGGCTTCTCTTTTGTTTCCTTTCTTGCCATGTGATCCACTTGCTTCCCTTCCCTTCTGCCATGACTATAAGCTTCCTGAGGCTTCATCAGTAGCTGAGGTACATGCTTGTACAGCCTGCAGAACCATGAGCCAAATAAACATCTTTTCTTTATAAATTACCAAGCCTCAGGTATTCCTTTACAGCAACACAAAACAGATTAACACAGGGAGTTACTTTGAGACCATCTGGTTTGTCATCTAACTTTCACCCATAGGTTTTAGCATTTATTCTTTTCTTTTTACATTTTTATTTATTTATTTTTTACTTGCCACTATACTAACGAGGAGGTTTTAGCATTTTAAAAAAATGTATGTATTTATTCATTTATTTCTTCTTAGAGACAGGGTCTTGCTCTGTTGCCTTGGTTGGAGTGCAGTGGTGTGATCATTGCTCTCTGCAGCCTTTGCCTCCTGTGCTCCAGTATTCCTCCTGTCTCAGCCCTCAGCCTTACCACTAGTTAGGGCTACAGGTGCATGCAACTGTGCCTGGATAGTTTTTTAATTTGTCATACGAGGTCTCACTATGTTGTCCAGGCTGGTCTAGAACTCCTGACCTCCAGCAATCCTCCTGCCTTGGCCTCCCAAAGTGCTTGGATTATAGGCGGGAGCCACCTACTATTTATTGATGTATCTTCTCTGCATAAGTTAGCATTATGTATTGCCAAGTGGTAATTTTCTAATTCCATGATTATTTAATAATTTTTTAAATTGGTATTCTACTGTAAGGAAGAGCTTTCTCTTCTCATTTATTTTTCCATGTATTTATTTACTTGATTATGGACTTATGGATTCCTGTTTTATTTTATGGGGTGTAATCTTACATTATCATTCCTTATTTACCTTACTCTTTTTTTTTTTTTTTTTTTTTTTTTGAGACAGTCTTGCTTTGTCACCCAGACTGGAGTGCTATGACATGATCTCGGCTCACTGCAACCTCTGCTCCCTGGGTTCAAACGATTCTCCTGCCTCAGCCTCCTGAGTAGCTGGGATTACAGGCATGTGCCACCATGCCTTGCTAATTTTTGTATTTTTAGTAGAGACGGGGTTTCACCGTGTTGGCCAGGCTGGTCTCGAACTCCTGACCTCAAGTTATCTGCCCACCTCAGCCTCCCAAAATGTTGAGATTACAGGCATGAGTCACTGCGCCTGGCCTATCTTATTCTTAATTTATTATTGTGACAAAATTTTAGCCCATTTGAATAAGTATTAATCATATTATTTGTTGCTGTATTAAAAATAAATCCACAGACAGAATGTTATGATAAAAACAGAAGTGGGTTTTCTCTGTCAGAGAATGCTAATTTTAGAACCTCAATATCCATTCTCCCTGCTCCCTCGCCTTTTTGTTTTTGAGACAGAGTGTTACTCTTGTCGCCCAGGCTGGAGTGCAGTGGTGCAATCTTGGCTCACTGCAACCTCTGCCTCCCAGGTTCAAGCGATTCTCATGCCTCAGCCTCCTGAGTAGCTGGAATTACAGGCACGCACCACCATGCCCAGCTAATTTTGTATTTTTAGTAGAGACAGGGTTTCACCATGTTGGCCAGGCTGGTCTTGAACTCCTGACCTCAGGTGATCCACCTGCCTCGACCTCTCAAAGTGTTGGATTACAGGCGTGAGCCACTGCGCCTGGCCCCCTTCTTTATTTTAGTAATAGAACCTCCTGAATTTTATCCAGGCACATGACTTCCTGTCCTCTTTTGCAGGTTGGAGAGGCCAGGTGACTAAGTTGTGAACAGTAGGATGTGGATGAAGTGATATGTACCACTTCTGGGTCATACCCTTAAAAGGGAATGTGTGCTGTCCTGGCACTTTGTCCCTTCCCATTGGCTGGGAAATCAGGAGAACTGGGCTGCCAGCTTAGACCAGAAATGTTTTGAAGGTGGCTGAGCCCTTTTAGCAGTTCTGAGCCATTCATTGTTTTAGTCTATTTTCTGCTGTGATAACAGGGTACCACAGACTGGGTAATTTATAAAGAAAAGAAATTTGTTTCTTACAGTTCTGGGGACTTGGGAAGCCCAAGAGCATGGTGTCAGGATGTGATGAGGGTCATCCCCTGGCAGAAGGGTAGAAGGCAAAAGGAAGTATATGTAAGAGAGAGAGCTCCCTTTTATAACAAAGCCACTTCCATGGTAATTAACCCACTCCCATGGTAACAGCATTAATCCATTCATGAGGGTAGAGCCCCCACCTCCCACCACTGTTGCATCGGGCACCAAGTTGCCAACACATGAGCTTTTAGAGGACACATTCAAACTATAGCACTGTTGAATTTGTAAATGAACGAGAAACAGAATTCTGTCTTGCTCAAGTCTACTTTTTGATCTTTTTGTTATAGCAGTTTAGTCTATATCCTAATTAATATTCCCTTATTCCAAAGTTTAAAAAAAAACTAATGAAGTATATTTTATTAATTTCTAGAACTAAAAATATTTCTGATGGCCACCTCACTAAGTTTAGGTCGCTCTATTGATGTTTCTTAGAAATACAAATATTATTCCTTAGGTTTTATATATTCCATAGCTCTGTCCACTGAGAGGGCCTAGAAGCATTTACAGCTCAGTAGCAACAAGCACATCTAGTGCCAGATTTTATTTTTTAAGTATCATTCTTCAACAAAGGGTAGCAGAGCTCCTTGGATAGATGGCTGGTTTTAGGATTGGGGCAGCTGGGGCAGGGAAAATGATGAGCCTGGAACATCTTGTAGTGCCAGGAAGTAAGGTAGTACTTAACAACAAAAAAAAAAAGAAATGAGGTATGTCAAAAGGACACAGTAGCTAATCTAAAGAGAACCCAGTGGTCAAAGCTAGAACAATTTGAGCAGCAAATTAAATAGTACAGTTGACCCTTGAACAACACTGCTTTGAACTATACAGGTTCGCTTATATATGGGTTTTCTTTTGCCTCTGCCATCCATGAGACAGCAAGACCAATTCCTCCTTTTGCTTCTCCTCCTCAGCCTACTCGATGTTAAGACATTAAGGAGGAAGACCTTTATGGTGATCTACTTCCAGTTAATGAATAGTAAATATATTTTCTCTTTTTTTTCTTAATAGCGTTTTCTTTTCTCTACCTTGTTTTTTTTTTTTTTTTTTTTTTAATGAGATGGAGTCTCATTCTGTTGCCCAGGCTGGAGTACAGTGGCACAATCTTGGCTCACTACATTCTCCGCCTCCTGGGTTCAAGCGATTCTCTTGCCTCAACCTTCTGAGTAGCTGGGACTACAGGCGTGTGCCACCACAACCAGCTAATTTTTGTATTTTTAGTAGAGACACATTTACCATATTGGTCAGGCTGGTCTTGAACTCCTGACCTCATGATCCACCTGCCTCAGCCTCCCAAAGTGCTGGGATTACAGGTGTGAGCCACTGCGCCCGGCCTCTTTTTTTATTTTTCTAGCTTACTTTATTGTAAGAATGCAGTATATTAAGCTTGTCCAACCCACCTTACTTTGTTGTTGTTGTTGTTGTTGTGTTTTGTTGTTTTAGGCTTTTAGCAGCCTGAAACCATGTTTTTTTAGTTTCTGTCTCTAATGATAAGTGGAAAAGGGGGATGAGGAAGGGGCTTTCTCCTGGCTTAACCAGAAATAGAAACTAAGAACCCATGACTCTATCTGCTCCCTTGGATACCCCTGTTGGGTATATAATACATATAACATACAAAATATGTGTTAATTGGCTATTTATGTTATCAGTAATGCTTCCAGTCAAGAGTAGACTATTAGTTAAGTTTTTAGGGAGTCAAAAGTCATATGCTGATTTGTGACTGCATAGGGGGGTTGGCATCCCAAACCCCACATTGTTCAAGAGTCAACTGTATTTGATTGTAACTCAAAGTATAAGATAAATATACATGAGTCCATATTGTTATAAATGAATGATAAACATTGATGAATGATAAATTTTGGATAAATGGAGGAGAGGGGACAAATCTTCCTTACAGTAGAATTCTAAATAATTTATGTAAATATATGCCCCTCCAAGAGGTAGAGATTAATACCCCTTAACTGTGAGCTGGACTTAATGACTCACTTCCAAAATACAGAGTATGGAAAGGGAAAGATGTCAGTTTTACAGTGGAAAAAACTAGCAAACACTACCATAACCTTGTGATTATGGTTAATATCACTGGTGATAAAACTGTTGATACAGGTTCAGTCTCCCTTATCTGAAATGCTTGGGACCAGAAATGTTTTGGATTTTGGATTGTTTTCAGACTTTGAAATATTTGCATATACGTAATGAGATATTTTGGGGATGGGACCCAAATCTAAACACAAAATTCATGTTACTAGGGTACAACACCTGTTGAAAAGAAATAGAAAGAAGCAGAAGAAAATGTCAATCCGAGGTGTTGGCTCAGTAGAGCCTACAGTATTCCCCACTTGGCTGTCTCCTTGGGCTGAAATGGCTGGACCTGTCCTCTGCCTTCTCTTCCCTATCACTGGATATGGGCGGCCTCAGGGGCATGACCTCAGGCTAGGTGCTCTGTAGCTGAGGTGATGCTGAAAAAGCTGATAGTCCGAGGCAGTCTGTTGTCCCCACTCCCACAGCTGGGCCCCACCGTGTAGAGCAAAGAGGGAAGGTGAAGATGTAGTTGATTAGCATCTTCAATTATGGTGGATTATACCATTGTTTTAAAGTTTATTAAAAATTCAGTTTACACTAAAACTGTAAAATGTTGAAATGGCTAAAATATAGTTTATTTAAGGAAATACACATAATACTTTTTTTACATTATGGAAAAAGTTTAAGTGTCTGTTGTTGTTAAAGCTTCAGCCTTCTTTTTTTGTTTGTTTGTATTTGAGATAGGAGGTCTCGCTCTCTCACCCACTCTGGAGTGCGGTGGCATGATCTCGGCTCACTGAAACCTCTGTGTCTTGAGTTCAAGTGATTCTCCCATCTCAGCCTCCCGAGTAGCTGGGACTATAGGCATGCACCACCGACTTAATTTTTTGTATTTTTAGTAGGGTTGGGGTTTCGCCATGTTGGTCAGGCTAGTTTTGGCCTTCTTAATAGAAATAGTGCTAGACTACATCACTTATTGATGAAGGACATACTGACCTAGAAATAATTTGCCTTTTAGCCATCTCTTTCAGTAACTTTGGCAAATAAAATAACTAGGTCAGCATTCATTTTTCTTTTATAGCAGCAAATTAAACTAAAAAAGTGAATCTTTTAGGTGTTTATAAGTATATAGCTTTTTTTTTTTTTTTTTCTGAGATGGAGTCTTGCTCTGTTACCCAGGCTAGAGTGCAGTGGCGTGATCTCAGCTTGCTGCAACCTCTGCCCTCCCAGGTTCAACCAATTCTCCTACCTCAGCCTCCTGAGTAGCTTGGATTACAGGCATATGCCACCACACCTGGCTAATTTTGGTATTTTTAGTAGAGACGGGTGTCACCATGTTGGCCAGGCTGGTGTTGAACTCCTGACCTCAAGTGATCTGCCTGCCTCAGCCTCCCAAAGTGCTGGGATTACAGACGTGAGCCACCACGCCCAGCCTGTATATACCTTTTCAGTTCTAAACCTGCATTTGTGAAGATTATGTTTTTAGATATCAAATAACAAGAATGTGTTTTGAGTGGGAAACATAGATTTAAAAGAAGGCTGGGAGCAGTTGCTCACATCTGTAATCCTAGCACTTTGGGAGGCCAAGGCATTTGGATCACTTGAGGTTGGGAGTTCGAAACCAGCCTGGCCAACATGGTGAGACCCCCATCTCTACTAAAAATACAAAACAATTAGCTAGGCATGGTGGTGGGTGCCTGTAATCTCTGCTACTCGAGAGGCTGAGGCAGAAGAATGGCTTGAACCCAGGAGGCAGAGGTTGCAGTGAGCTGAGATTGTGCCACTGCACTCCAGCCTGGGTGACAGACCAAGACTCTGTCTCAAAAAAAAAAAAAAAAAAAAAAAGAAGAAGAAGAAGAAGAGAAGAGCCAAATCACTGTGCTCTGGCATTTTACCTTTGCATTGGCCTTACTATATTTGGGGTTCGTTCATTTTGCCATTCAAATGCTGCATTATCAAGAGAGTTGCGTAGTCCACTACCTGTAGAACAGAATTAGACAGTTACTTCTGCCTCCGCAGGGTAGTACTGTAGAAAATTCTCTTTACTTCCCCAACGCAGAAATCTTGGAAATTAGTCAGATCATGTGACAGGATGAATGCACAATTTGTCTAAGTTTCTGTCAATGTTGAGGCATTTAGCTCATAATCTGAACTTCTGCCAATTCCCCTGATTCAGAACTTGATATTACTTTGTTTGTTGAAGTTACTGCATCCCTGAGGAATAAGAGGAAAATGATTTTAAAATTACATGTATATATTAAGACAGTGTTGTGTTTTTTTAATTGTTTTAGTTTCTATGAAAATCTGTTCCCTTCCACAGCAGTGTAAAGTGATAAAATGGTAAACTTAAAACTTGAGGAAAAGGCTGGGGGCGGTGGCTCATGCCTGTAATCCCAGCACTTTGGGAGGCTGAGGTGTGTGGATCACCTGAGGTCAGGAGTTCAAGACTAGCCTGGCCAAAATGGTGAAACCTTGTCTCTACTAAAAATACAAAAATTAACTGGGCGTGGTGGCAGGCACCTGTAATCCCAGCTACTCAGGAAGCTGAGGCAGGAGAATTGCTTGAACCCATGATGTGGAGTTTGCAGTGAGCCGAGATTGTGCCACTGCACTCCAGCCTGGTGACAGAGTGAGACTCTGTCTCAAAAAGAAAAAAAAAAGACTTAAGGAAAATAAGCTAGAAAGGACCCCCTTAGGAAAAAGTTTAATCTTGTTCTATTATGTGTTGAGGAAATGCAGGTGTGATGAAGTCAGGTAACCTTGCCCCAGTTTGTCTGGCTAGTTAGTGACAGTCTGGACTACACAGACTTACATGGTTGCCGGCAGTTACACTGAAGGCTTCAACGGCAAGTCCTAAGGAATGGCAGATTTGGAAGAGATCTCTAAGTGAGACGTGCCAAACTTGAAAAGAAAATGTTTAATCACAACTAAAGGTAAATAAATCATGATTATAAGATCCACAGAAGAAGAAGAAACTCCAAGTCGAGGACAATCTATTAAAAACACCCTGTCTTCTGAAATTATTTCAGGCTGCAATTTTTTATTGCATGTTCAAGGCAGTGGTGATGTTAGTGACAATGAAGAAAATAATGTTTATGGAAACTATTTTAATGGCTATGATTCAGAAGCTGCTTGAAATAAAATAAGATTATATTCTTCAGTAATCATTTACACCCTGCTTTTCTACCAGTGGAGTATAAAATAGTGTTCTCTATCGTCATTCTGCCTTTCCTTCCGCATCTGATCTAAATTCTTTTTTTTTCTTTTTTTTCTTTTTTTAAATGAGGCAGAGTCTCACTTTGTCACCCAGGCTGGAGTGCAATGGCATGATCTCGGGACTGCGATCTCCACCTCCTGGGCTCACCTGTTTCTCCTGCCTTAGCCTCCCAACTACAGGTGTGCGTCACCACGTCTGTCAATTTTTGTATTTTTTATAGAGACAAGGTTTCACCACATTACCCGGGCTGGTCTTGAACTCCTGGGCTTAAGCTATTCACCTTCCTTCGCCTCCCACAGTGTTGGGATTACAGGCATGAGACACTGCACCCAGCCTTAAATTCTTATATTCAACATTTTATCAGAAGATCACATCCTTTTCTTTTATATGCTGTGGTTTATGTGCATCTCCCAAAGTTGATGTGGTGGAAACTTAATCCCCAATGCAAAAGTATTGAGAGATGGCACCTTTAAGAGGTGATTAGGTCATTAATGGATTAATGCCAGTATTTCAGGGGTTAGGTTCCTGATAAAAGAATGAGTTTGGCTTCCTTCCCTCTCTCTCTCTTGCTCTCACTCTCCCTCTTGTGCCTCTGCCATGGGATGATGCAGCAAGAGGTCTTTTCCAGATGCTGGCCCTTCCATCTTAGACTTCCCCGTCTCCAGAACTATAAGAAATAAAATCTCTGCTCGTTATAGGTGACCCAATCCTAATATTCTATTACAGCAACACAAAGGGGCTAAAACATTTTATAATCCAAATGTGAAGCAAATTAATGGAAACTACATATATTCAAAGGGACCACCTTATTTATGTCCAAAACAAAACATTTTTGAAAAAAAAATTGTGCAAACCAAATTTGTCATTGTCTTCTTTCATATCAAACTCCTTTCACATGGTGTTAGATAAACTTAGTTCAGTCTTTGGAGATCAATGTTAGATTGTTTTATGTTTATTACTGAAATAATCTTGATAATGAATTTTAATTACTTGGTTACCTCTTACACCTGTTAATTTAAGTCGTGAAGTTCTGTCCCTGTCCAAGCCGTTGTGCCTCTGAAGATATTTGTCCAACAGGAATATTTTTCTTCTTCCTTGGATTTCCAGGAGGACATTGCATTGAATTGGAAATTTGAGATTATTGCAGTTTTCTGTCCCTGAAGTCTGTTTATACTGCAATTTGACTTTCTTAACTGTGTTAATTAAGTCAGATTTCACAATTTTTAAATGACTTTTTTCCTAGAATATTTGTTCTTTTTTTTGACTTTTAACTTAGGCTCAGGGGTACATGTGCAAGTTGTTAAGTAGGTAAATTGTGTGTCTCAGGGTTTTGGTGTACAGATTATTTCGTCACTCAGGTAATAAGCATAGTACCTGATAAGTAATTTTTCAATTCTTAGCTCCTTCCGCTCTCCACCCTCAAGTAGGCCTCAATGTCTGTTGTTCCCTTCTTTGTATCCATGTGTATCCAACATTTAGCTCCCAATTATAAGTGAGAGTATGCACTATTTGGTTTTCTGTCCTTGCATTAGTTTGCTTAAGTTAATGGCCTCTGGCTCCATCTTTGTTGCTGCAAAGAACATAATCTTGTTCTTTTTTAGGGTTGCGTAGTATTCCATGGTGTATATGCAGCGCACCCCCGCCCCCCCGCCTTTTTTTTTTTTTGAGATGGAGTCTCGCTCTGTCGCCCAGGCTGGAGTGCAGTGGTACCATCTCGGCTCACTGAAAGCTCCACCTCCCGGGTTCACACCATTCTCCTGCCTCAGTCTCCCGAGTATCTGGCACTACAGGAGCCTGCCACCATGCCTGGCTAATTTTTTGTATTTTTAGTAGAGGCAGGGTTTCACCATGTTAGCCAGGATGGTCTC